>NT_187374.1:0-176845 GCF_000001405.40 Homo sapiens | reverse complement strand
GAATTCATTACCAAGGTAGAGAGGACACTAACCAATCGGTAGTTTTAATCAATCTGTATTCCCTCCCCCCTCCCTCTTTGTTTTTTGTTTGTTTGTTTGTTTTTGAGACAGAGTTTTGCTCCGTCGCCCAGGCTGGAGTGATGTGGCGCGATCTTGGCTCACTACAAACTCCGCCCCCCGGGTTCAAGCGACTCTCCGCCTCAGACCCCCGAGTAGCTGGGATTACAGGCGCCAGCCACCATGCCCCGTTAATTTTTGTGTTTTCATTAGAGGCGGGGTTTCACCACGTTGGCCAGGCTGGTCTCAAACTCCTGACCTCGGGTGATCCGCTCACCTTGGCCTCCCAAAGTGTTGGGATTATAGGCGTAAGCCACCGTCCCGGCCCCTCCCACCCCTCTGTATTATGACCGTGTGTACCCAGCATTTAGCTCCTACTTATGAAAGAGAACATGCGGTATTTTGTTTTTTGCTTTTGCATTAGTTTGCTGGAAACAATGCATCCATGTTGCTTCAAATGGCATAATTTTGAGTTTTTTCTGGCTGTATAGTATTCCATGAGTCTTTAGACCACCACTGATGGATGTCTGGATTAAGCCTATGTCTTTGTGATTGTGAATACTGCTGTGATAAAAATATGGCTACATGTGTCTTTTTGATAGGATATTTATTTTCTTTCGGGTATATACCCAGTAATGGGGTTACTGGATTGAATGGTAGATCAATTCTCAGTTCTTTAAGAAATCCCCAACCTGCTTTCCACAGTGACTGAACTAATTTACATTCCTTCAGAAAGTGTATAAGTGTTCTCTATTCTCTAAATCTTCACCAATATGTGTTTTTCTTTTGACTTTTCAAAAAAAGCCATTCTGAACGGTGTGAAATGGTATTTCATTTTGGTTTTGATTTGCATTTCTCTAATAAATAATGACGATGAGCACTTTTACATATGTTTGTTGGGTGCTTGTGTGTATGTCTTCTTTTGAAAAGTGTCCGTTCATGTCCTGTTGCCCACTTTTTAATGGAGTTACTTGCTGCTTGCTTGTTGATTTGTTTAAGTTCCTTATAGGTTCTGCATAATAGACCTCTGTTAGATGCGTAGTTTGTGAATATTTTCTTTCATTCTGTGGGTTATCTCTTTACTACCTTGATAGTTCCTCTTGTTGTGCAAAAGTTTTTCAGTTTAATTAAATCCCACTTGTCATTTTTTGTTTTAGTTGCAATTGCTTTTGAGGACTTAGCCATAAATTACTTGGCAAGGCCGTTATCAAAAAAAGTATTTCCTAGGTTTTTTCTAGGCGTTTTATAGCTTGAGATTTTTCATTTAACTCTTTAATCCATCTTAAGCTAATTTTTGTATTTGGTGAAATATGGAGGTCGAGTTTTATTCTTCTGCATATGACTAGCCAGTTATCCCCACATTATTTATTAAATAAAAAGTCTTTTTCCCATTGCTTACTTTTGTCAACTTTGTTAAAGATGTGATGGTTGCAGGCATGTGGCCTTAGTTTCTAGTACTCTAGTCTGTTCCATTGGTCTATGTGTCTGTTTTTCTACCAGTACCATGTTGTTTTGATTACTATAGTCTTCTAGTATAGTTTGAAGTCATGTACTATGATGTCTCTAGCCTATGTCTCTAGCCTTAGTATTGCTTTGGCTTGGCTATTCAGACTCCTTTTAGGTTCCATATAAATTTTAGATGTTTTCTATTTTGTGCAAAATGACATTAGTAGTTTGATAGGAAAAGCATTGAATCTGTAAATCGCTTTGAGCAGTATACTCATCTGCACGCAGATGATACTCCAGTGTATGTTCTGTGGTTGATGAGTGAAGTGTATTGTAATTCCAAATGGTCAAGCCAGACCCTGCCCCTACCCGGCTCCTCCTCTGCCAGAGCTCAAGACCTCTAGCCAGGGGCCCTCTGCAGCCACTGGGGATGGGGCTGAGGGCCGCTTCCCGCCCCCGTGCAGCTGCTGCAGGGCAGACCGCCTGGCTTGGCCGCAGCCACAGGGACATCTGGCCCTGCTTCGGAGATGTGGGGAGAGCGGGCACGCTCAGGAGTTGCCTGGAGGCTGCTGTCTGCACACAGAAGGCGGCTGCAGCTTGGGAGCCCAGGCGGGCTGGAGGTGCATGGCCTGGTCGGCCTCGGGATCGCCAGCGCGCCCAGCCTGAGGGCCCCCAGGCCATGCCTCCCACCCACTCCTCCACCTGAGAGAGATCGGGGCCGCTGTCATGGGCACTCGGCAGTCACCCCGTGTGGGGTTGATCGGCGGGTTCTCAGTTCTCGCCCCTGTGCAGCCGCCACCGCTGGGCAGAATGCCTGGCTTGGCCACAGCCACAGGGATACCTGGCCCTGGTTCTGCGAGACTGGGAGCACAAGCGGGCTCAGGGGTTGCCAGGCAGCTGCTGCCTGCACACGGAGGGTGACTGCAGCTTGTGCGCCCAGGCGGCGGAGCGTGGTCTGGGTGGCCTCTGGAATGCGTGCGCGCCAGGCCTGAGGGCCTCCCTGGTGGAGCCACCTGCCCCAGTCTTCCTCTGCTGGAGCCTGGAGCAGCCGGAATGTCCACTCTGCAGTCACAGGGGATAGAGTTAAGTTTTCTTATCCCACACATGCACACAAAAAGGTAACTATTCTGTGAGTTAATTAACATGTTCATTGACTTCGTTTTGGTAATCATTTCAGAATGTGCATATAAACGCATCACATGTACAATTTTTATTTCTCTATTACACCTCAGTAAAGCTGAAATAATTAACAGGATTGAAAGGATAAACCCACAGTTCTATAGTCACAGTTGGACACTTCAATACCTCATTTTAATTAATGGATAGAAAAACCAGACAGAAGCTTCATGAGAAATACAAGAGTTAAACAACAGTATAAGCCACTGAGAGCTAATACGCATATACAGCACAGTCCATCCAACAACAGCAGAATATACATTCCTTTCAAGTGTATATGGAAGTTCTCTAGGATGGGCCATATCTTCGTCCACAAAATATATCCTAATCATTTTTAAAAGTTTGAAATCATACAAAATATAATTTACAACCACAATGGAAGAAACAACAGATAAATAAGTGAAAACTGGAAAATTCATGAAAATGTGGAAATTAAACAATACAGTCTTCAACTACCAGTGAGTGAAAAAAATAAATCACAAGCAAAATTATAAAATATCTTGAGATAAATTAAAATAAAAACAAAACATACCAAAACTTATTGAATGCAGTGAAAGTAGAGTTCAAAGGAAAATGTATGGATATAAACAACTACATTTAAGAAAAATCTCAAATCAACATCCTCACTCTATATCTAAAGGCAGTGGAAGAAGACAAAAGAAGACTAAATCCAAAGCTAGCAGTATGAAAGAAATAATAGAGAGCATAATTAGAGCATAAATCAATAAAATAGAAGTTTGGAGAGCAGTAGAATGAATAAACATAGATTATTTGAAAGATCAAGCCTTTCACTATATTGACTGAGCAAAAGATGGAAGACTAATTATTAAAATAATAAATGAAAGCAGAGCCATTACTACCAACTTTACAGAAATACAAAAGGATTACAGGAGTATACTGTGAACAACTGTCTAACAACAAATTAGCTGCCCTGGATGAAATAGACGAATCACTAGAAAGATACAAACTACGAAAGTGGCTCCAGAAGAAAGAGAAAATATGAATAGACCTATAACCTAGGATATTGAATTAGTAATCGAAAGCGATTAACAAAGAAACATTTATGACCATATAGCTGCATTAACTGGTGAGTCAACCTAACATTTAAAAAAGAATTAATACCATTTCTTCTCAAACTCTTCCGACATAATATATGAAGAAGGAATACTTGCTAATTCATTTTTTGATAACAGCATTATCCTTATACCAAAGCCAAAGAGAGCACAAAAAAGAGAACTACAGCACAATATCCCTTATGAATATATAAGCAAAAATCTCAGCAAAATACTAGCAATACTAGCAAAATACTAGCAGCAATACTGTATAATCAAAGGATTGTAAACTATCACCCTGTGAGATTTATCCCCAAAATGCAAGAGTGGCTCAACATATAAAAAATCAATCAGTGTAATATACTCTAACAGTAAAATGAATAAGCACGTGATTATTTCAATTGATGCAGAGAAAACATTGATGAAATACAACACCCTTCTATAATAAAAATATTCAATAAACTAGGCATAGAAGGGATTTTCTGCAACATGACAATAGGATGTACAAAAACCCAACAGTTAATATCATGATCAATGATGAAACACTGAAAGCTGTTTTCCTAACATCTAGAACAAGACAAGCACGGTTCATTTGCCACTTGTATTCAACATACCACTGGCAATTTTAGCCAGAGCAATTAGGCAAGACAAAGAAATAAAAGGCATCTAAATTAGAAATAAAAAAACAGAAGTAAAATTATATATACACATGATCTTATGTGTATAAAGCTCCAAATAAAACACAAAACCGATTATAACTAATAAAAGAGGCAGGATGCAAAACAAACATAGGCAAATGAGCTATATTTCTATATAGTTGTAAAGAACTATGAAAACATTTTAAAAATTCCATTTATAATAGCATCAAAGAATAAGTTATTCAGGCATAAATCTAACCATGGTGGTATACACAAAACTTTGCTGAAAAAAACGAAAGAGAGTGGAAATAACTGGAAAGACATTCTGTGTTCATGGGTTGTAAGACAATATTGTTAAGATGACAATACCATCTAAAGTAATCTACAGATTCAATGCAGTACCATCAAAATCCCAAAGGCATTTCTGCAGAAAGAAAGAAACTCATTCTACAATTCATACAAAAATTCAAAGGATCTGACAGACAAAACAGTCTTGAAAAAGAATATTAGAAAACTCACATTTTTCAGTTTCACAGCCTACTACAAATCTACAGTAATCAAGAGAGTGTGGTACTGGCATAAGACTAATAGACTTTTAGACCAATAAAATAGAACAGATTTGAGATCCTACAAATTAGTGCTCACATATATGGTCAATGACTGTTCAACAAGCTGTCCAAGTCTAGTCAAGGGAGGAAAGAACAGTCTCTCCAACAGCTGGATGTCAGTGCACAAGAGAGAAGTTAGACCCCTACCTTGCAGTATACACAAAAATTAATTCTAAATTAATAAAAGACTTAAATGTAAGGACTAAAGTATGTAACTCTTAGAAGAAAACACAAGGTAAACCTTTATGACCTTTGAGTTTTAAGTGTATTTTGAAATATGACAGAAAAGCACAGATAACAAAAGAAAATACACGTAAATTAGATTTAATCAAAATAAAAAACCTTTATGCATCAAAGGATACTATCAAGGGAGTTAAAAGACAACCCATAGTATGTGAGAAAATATGTATCTGATAAAATCAAAGTGCGTATCTGATAAAAGCTTAATATCCCACAACTCAACGTCAGAATTTCTAACATCCCAATTAAAAAATAGGCAAAGGACTTGAATAGACATTTCTCCGAAGAAGATACACAAATGTCTAAGACGGACAAGAAAAGATGCTAAACACCGTTATTCATTAATAAAATGCAAGACAAAACCCAAATGAGATGCCACTTTGCATCCACTAGTAAGGCTTTCATAACAACGACACAGAAAATCAGTGTTGCTAAGGAGGTGGAGAAATTGGAGCCCTTATGAACTGGCTGCTAGGAATAGAAAATGATGCACTTGCCGTGGAAAACAATTTGGTGGTTCCTCACAGAATCACACAGAGAAACAGGCGCTGCGGGCTTCCGGGTTCTCCTGGGCTGGCGCGGTATGTCCCGGAATCGCAGGCACGCATCCCTTCCCGCCTGAGGGCCTGCCTGTCCTTGACTCCCGCCCCTCTTCTCCTCCGAAGAGAGGTCGGGGCCTCTCCAGGGGCCGTCCGCAGCCACCGGGGATGGGGCTGAGGGTCGGTTCCTGCCCCGGTGCAGCCGCCGCCGGGCAGACCGCCTGGCTTGGCCGCAGCCACGGCGACATCCACGCCCAGGTCTGCGAGGCTGGGCGCGCCAGCCAGCTTGGGAGTTGCCTGGCGCCTGTAGCTGGGCGCCCAGGTGGTGGAGCATGGCCTGGGCGGCCTCTGGATCGCGAGTGCCCCTGGCCTGAGAGCCCGCCAGACCCTGCCCCCGCCCGGCTCCTCCTCTGCCAGAGCTCGACACCTCTAGCCAAGGGCCCTCTGCAGCCACGGGGGATAGGGCTGAGGGCCGGTTCCCGCCCCCGTGCAGCTGCTGCAGGGCAGACCGCCTGGCTTGGCCGCAGCCACAGGGACATCTGGCCCTCGTTCCGAGATGTGGGAAGTGAGGGCGGACTCGGGAGTTGCCTGGAGGTTGCTGCCTGCACACAGAAGGTGGCTGCAGCTTGGGTGCCCAGGCGAGCTGGAGGTGCATGGCCTGGTCGGCCTCGGGATCGCCAGCGCGCCCAGCCTGAGGGCCCCCAGGCTGTGCCTCCCGCCCAGTCCTCCACCTGAGGGAGATCGGGGCCGTTGGTATGGGCACTCGGCAGTCACCCGTGTGGGGTTGAGCGGCGGGTTCTCAGTTCTCGCTCCTGTGCAGCCGCCGCCGCCGGCCAGAATGCCTGGCTTGGCCGCAGCCACTGGGACACCTGGCCCTGGTTCTGCGATGCTGGCAGCGCGAGCGGGCTCGGGGGTTGCCAGGCAGCTGCTGCTGCACACAGAGGGCGACTGCAGCTTGTGCGCCCAGTCGGCGGAGCATGGTCTGGGTGGCCACTGGAATGCGTGCGCTCGAGGCCTGAGGGACCCGCTGTTGGTGCCACCTGCCCTGCTCTGCGCCTCTCCGCGCCTGCGCCGGCGCCCTGCGCCCCCTCCGCGCCTGCGCCGGCGGTCTGCGCCTCTCTGCCTTTGCGAAGGGCGCTCTGCCTTTGCGAAGGGCGCTCTCCCTTTGCGAGGGCAGAGGTGCCTTCTCGTCAGCACAGACCGGGAGAGCATCGCGAGGGCGGAGCTGAGTTCTCCTCTGCACAGACTTCGGAGATACAGCGAAGGCGGAGCAGTGTTCTCCTCAGCACAGACCCGGGCGGGCGCGCCGGGGGCACCGCGAGGGCGGAGCTGCGTTCTGCTCAGCACACACCCGGGGGACACCGCGAAGGCAGAGCAGCGTTCTCAGCACAGACCTTGGGGGCACTGCCTCGCTTTGGGACTACTCGGGACCGCATAGACGGTGAATAAAATCCTTCCTGTTTGCAGCCCTTAATAATCAGGGTCAGAGACCAGTTAGAAGGATTCAGTGTGGAAAACGGGAAACCAAAAGCCCCTCTGAATCCTACCCACCGAGGTTCTCCCCGGCCAAGCCGAGGCGGCCGCAGTGCGAGATCCACACCGCAGCCTCGGAAGACAAATGCGGCATTCCTAATGCAGACATGACACCCAAAGTATGACACCCCCATTGCTCATGTAACAAGCACCTGTAATGCTAATGCACTGCCTCAATACAAAAATATTAATATAAGATCCGCAATCGCCTCGCTGCCGTGCAGTCCAAAGACAGCGATCATAATAATCAACATTGACATAGTCAATACAAACGTAGTAACGAACCTAGGGTTAAGGTTGGTGTTAGGGTTAGGGGTTAGGGGTTAAGTTTAGGGTTAGGGGTTGGAGATAGGGATTGGGGTCAGAGTTAGGGGTTAGGAGTCAACGTTTAGAGTTAGGGTTTAAGAGATGTTAGGGATTAGGGGTTAGGGTTGGGTTAGGGTGAGGGTTGGGGTTAGGGGTTAGGGTTGGGGATAGCGGTTAGGGTTTGGGTCAGGAGTTAGGGGTCAGGGTTAGGGGTCAGGGTCAGGGGTCAGGGTCAGGGGTCCCACTCTGCGATTTGTCTATTTACTCTGCTGACTGCTCCCTTTGCCATGCAAAAGCTCTTTAGTTTATTTAAGTCCCAGCTATTTATCTTTGTTTTTATTGCATTTGCATTTGGGTTTTTGGTCATGAAATCCTTGCCTATGCCAATGTCTAGAAGGGTTTATCCAGTGTTATCTTCTAGAATTTTTACAGTTCAGGAATTAGGTTTAAGTTCTTAATCCATCTTGAGTAGATTTTTGTATAAGGTGAGAGATGAGACTCCAGTTTTATTACCCTACATGTGGCTTGCCAATTATCCCAACGTCATGTGTTGAAAAGGGTGTCCTTTCCCCACTTTATGTTTTTGTTTGCTTTGTCGAAGATCAGTTGGCTGTAAGTATTTGGGTTAATTTCTGGGTTCTCTCTTCTGTTCCATTGGTCTATGTGCCTATTTTTAAACCAGTACCATGCTGTTTTGGTAACTATGGCCTTATTGTACAGTTTGAAATCAAGTAGTGTGATGCCTCCAGGTTTGTTCTTTTTGCTTAGCCTTGGTTCGGCTACATGGCACTCTTTTGGTTCCATATTAATTTTAGAATTTTTTTGTAATTCTGTGAGGGATGATGGTGGTATTCATATGGGGATTGCATTGAATTCGTAGATTGCCTTTAAAAGAATGGTAATTTTCACAATATTGGTTCTACCCATCCATGAGCATGGGGATGTGTTTCCATTTGTTTGTGTCATCTATGATTTCTTTTCTTTCTTGTTTTTTTTTTTTTTTTTTTTTTTTTCAGAGGTAGTTTCGCTCTTGTCGCTGAGGTGGGAGTGCAATGGTGTGATCTCGGCTCACTACAACTTCTGCCTCCCGGGTTCAAGCGATTCTCCTGCCTCAGTTTCCCGAGTAGCTGGGATTATAGGCATGCGCCAACGTGCTTGGCTCCATCTATGATTTCTTTCAGCAGTGTTTTGTAATTTTCATTGTAGAGGTCTTTTGATTACTTTGCTAGGTATATTCCTAAGTTTTGTTTGTTTTTTTGTTTGTTTTTTGCAGCTATTGTAAAAGGGGTTGAGTTCCTGATGTGATTCTCAGCTTGGTAGCTGTTGATGTATAGAAGAGCTACTGATTTGTGTACATTAATCTCGTATCTGGAAACTTTGCTGAATTCTTTTGTCAGTTCTAGGAGCTTTCTAGAGGAGTCCGTAGGGTTTTCAAGGCGAAAGATCATATCGTCAGCAACCAGTAACAGTTTGACTTCCTCTTTACGATTTGGATTTCCTCTATTTCCTTCTTTTGTCTGATTGCTCTGGCTAGGACTTCCAGTACTATGTTGAAGAGGAGTGGTGAGAGTAGGCTCTTCGTCTTGTTCCAGTTCTCAAAGGGAATGCTTTCACCTTTTCCCCATTCAGTATTATGTTGGCTGTGGGTCTGTCATAGATGGCTTTTATTACATTAAGGTATGTCCCTTGTATGCCTATTTTGCTGAGAGCTTTAATCATAAAGCAATGCTAGATTTTGTCAAATGCTTTTTCTGCATCTGTTGATAAAATCATGTGTTTTTTTTTAATTCTGTTTATTTGGTGTATCACATTTATTGACTTGCATATGTTAAACCATTCCTGTGTCACTGGTATGAAACCCACTTGATCATGGTGGATTATCTCTTTGATATATTGTTGGATTCAGTTAGATAGTATTTTGTTAAGGATTTTGGCATCTGTGTTCATCATGGATATTGGTCTGTAGTTTTCTTTTTTGGTTATGTCCTTTCATGGTTTTGGTATTAGGGTGATGCTGGCTTCATAGAATGAATCAGGGAGTGTTTCTTCTTTCTCTGTCTTGTGGAATAGTGTGAAAGGATTGGTATCATTTCTTCTTTGAATGAAATAAAATATTCTTTGAATGTCTGGTAGAATTCTGCTGTGAATCTGTCTGGTCCTCGGCATTTTTTGTTGGTAATTTTAAAATTACCATTTCAATCTTGCTGCTTGCTTTATTGGTCTGCTTGGGGTATCTACTTCTTCCTGATTTAAGCTAGGAGGGTTGTATTTTTCCAGGAATTTATGCAACTCTTCTGGGTTTTCTAGTTTATGTGCCAAAAGGTGTTCATAGTACCCTTGAATAATCTTTAATATTTCAGTGGTGTCAGTTGTAATATCCCCTGTTTCATTTCTTAGTGAGGTTATTTGGATTTCCTCTCTTCTTTTCTTGGTTAATCTTATAATGGTCTATCGATTTTGTTTATCTTTTCAAATAACCAACTTTTTATTTTATTCATGTTTTGTATTTGTTGTTGTTGTTGTTGCTGTGTCAATTTCATTTAGTTCTGCTCTAATCTTGGTTATTTCCTTTGTTTGCTGGGATTGGGTTTGGCTTGTTCCTGCTTCTCCAGTTCCCTGAGATGTGAACTTAGATTGTCTGTTTGTGCTCTTTCACACTTTTTGACATAGGTGTTTAGGGCTACAAACTTTCCTCTTAGCACTGCCTTTCCTGTATCCCAGAGGTCTTGATAGGTTGTGTCATCCAGTTCGAAGAAATTTTTTCCATTTCCATCTTGATTTTGTTTTTTACCCAGTGCTCATTCAGGAGCAGGTTATTTAATTTCCATGTATTTGCATGGTTTTGAAGATTCCTTTTGGAGTTGATTTTCAGTTTTATTCCACTGTGATCTGAGAGGGTGCGTGATACAATTTCAATTTTCTTAAATTTATTGAGACTCATTTTATGGCCTATCATATGGTCTATCTTGGAGAAAATTCCATGTGCTGTTGAATAGAATGTGTATTCTGTGGTTGTTGGATGAAATGTTCTTATATATCTGTTAAGTCCATTTGTTCCAAAGTATAGTTTAAATCCAGTGTTTCTTTGTTGACTTTCTGTCTTGATGACTGACAGGTGCTGTCAGTGGAGTAATGAAGTTCCCTCACTATTATTGTGTTGCTATCTATCTTATTTCTTATGTTTACTAGTGATTGTTTTATAAATTTGGGAGCTCCAGTGTTAGCTTCATGTATGTTTAGGATTGTCATGTTTTTCTGTTGAATGAGACCTTTACCATTATATACTGTCTGTCTTTGTCTCTTTTAGCTACTGTTGCTTTAAAGTTTGTTTTGTCTCATATGAGAATAGCTACTGCTGCTTGCTTTTTGTGTCAGTTTGCATGAAATGCCTTTTTCTGCCACTTTCCTTAAGTTTATGTAGGTCATTATGTGTTAGGTGAGTCTCCTGAAGGCAGCAGATAGTTAGTTGGTGAGTTATTATCCATTCTGTGGTTCTGTATCTTGTAAGTGGAGCATTGAAGCCATTTACAACCAACATTAGTATTAAAAAGTGAGGTACCATTTCTTTCATCATGCTCTCTGTTGCCTCTGTACTTTGTTTTTGTTTTTTGTTTTTGCTTTTTAACTTGTATTTTTGTTTTATAGGTCTTGTGTGATTTATGCTTTAATGAAGTTCTGTTTTGATGTGTTTCCAGGGTTTGTTTCATGATTTAGAGCTCCTTTTAGCAGTTCTTACAGTGCTGGTTTGGTAATGGCAAATTCTGTCAGCATTTGTTTGTCTGAAAATGACTGTATCTTTCTTTCATATATGATGTTTAGTTTTGCTGGATACATAATTCTTGGCTGATAATTGTTTTGTTTGAGGAGGCTGAAGAAAGGGCCCCAATCCCATCTAGCTTTTAAGGTTTCTGCTGCAAAATCTGCTGTTAGTTTGATAGGTTTTCCTTTATAGGTTACCTAGTGCTTCTGTCTCACAGCTCTTAAGATTCTTTCTTTTGTCTTAACTTTGGATAACCCAATGACAATGTGCCTAGGCTAAGATATTTTTGTGATGAATTTCCCAGGTGTTATTTGTGCTTCTTTTATTTGGATGTCTAGGTCTCTCACAAGGCCACAGAAGTTTTCCTTGATTATTCCCCCAAATATGTTTTCCTAGCTTTTAGAATTCACTTCTTCCTCAGGTACACCAATTAGTCTTAGGTTTCATTGTCTTAGGCCCCACCACTGGGGCCGCTACACGTGACATGGGATGTGGGCCATCGGGCAAAGGGTGCGGAGATGGGGCGCTGCCAGGGGAGCCAAGGAGGAAAGAGAGCGCTTTCCAAATTGTCTTCCAGGGTTTCAATGTGCATTTTATTAACTCAGAATCTGTCGGGAATAATACTAGGGCGCTACCTTTCCCTGGAGATAGGTCTTGTCAGTGGAGTGAGATAGGCTGGGGGGAGGAAGAGGAATGAGAGACTCAGTTTATAAATATTAAGATCAGCAAGGGTGTGCTGCTGGCAGGAGCAGAGGGAGCCTAGAGATTTGGGTGGCTGCCGTTGGTAAGTGGTTGCAATCCAGAGAGTGGGATTGAGTTCCTCCCTTGTCATGTTAGCATCCCGTTTCCTGGGCGCGGGTCTAATGCCCTGCAGGTGGTCATTTCACTCATGGTGGCTTTGTCTCTCTTCTGCCATCTCCAGACTCAGCTTCACACTCCAGGGCTGTGTACCACCAGCCACTGTCATGTTAACCCCTTCCCAGGCCAGTGTGTCCTTGGCCTGGAGCCCAATCTGCTGGACAGCCTGGGACCGTCCATTTTCGGGGTGGTGGGCAACCTGGTGGCCATCGTGGTGCTGTGCAAGTCGCGCAAGGAGCAGAAGGAGACCACCTTCTACACAGTTATGCGGCTGACTGCCACCGACCTGTTGTTCACTTTGCTGGTGAGCCAGGTGACCATCGCCATGTACACGAAGGGCGGGTAACCTGGGGGCCAGCTGCTGTGTGAGTACAGCATCTTCAGCCTGTTCTTCTTCAGTCAGTCCGGCCTCAGCATCGTCTGTGCCGTGATACCTATACAGGTAATTTGTGTTAGACATTCTTAGAAGAGTTTCAAAAGTTTTATGTTTTTATCTGGGTTATAAACAGAGTCCTCAAATGCACACAAAGGAAATCATGCCATGATTGAATTTCAGCAGGAATAAGTTTATTTTACCTATACAAAATTAAAATACTTTTGTTGTGTTTGAAAATGTGTTTTAAAGATATGTTTTTGAAAAAAGTTTAAGTAAATATTTAATCATGTCCCCTTTTCTATCCCAAGAAATAATTTCATATATAGTTTATTTAAATTTTTTAACAAAAATGTAGCATAATTTTTTTAAATTGTATATTTTATTTAACCCAATATATATACAAAATATTGGGTCAATATGTAATCAATATAAAAATTATTAGAGATAGTTTGCGTTCTTTTTTCATATGAAATCTTTGAAATCCATTGTGTATTTTAAATTTTAGGATGTCTCAACTCAAATGTGAAATTTTCATGGAGAATATTTGAACTGTATTTAGATTAATACAAATTGCAGTTAAAAAGTTTAATATAGATTTACCAGGGGGTGTGCAGCCCACTTGCCAATCAGATCGCTGCTGAGCGGTCCCGCAGCCAACCCCCGAAGAGCAGCCTGCTGGCTTCCCCAGTGCCCAGGAGTTGGGGATGTCCTACAAACCTACCACACCTGCCCCCAGCAGCACCCCCGGCTCCAGCACCCCTGGGCCAGGCACTCTGGTCCCTACAGGAAGCGTCCCGTCACCGTCGGGCTCAGGGCCGGGAGCCACTGCCCCTTTCAGACCGCTGTTTAAAGACTTTGGACCGCCTACCATCGGTTGTGTGCAGGCCATGAAACCACCTGGTGCCCAGGGCTCCCAGAGTACCTACACGGAACTGCTGTTGGTCACAGGGGAGATGGGCAAAGTGATCCGGCCCACCTATGCTGGCAGCAAGAGCGCTGCGGAGCGCCTGAAGAGAGGTATCATCCATCCCTAGTCAGAGTGCCTGGTAGAGACAGAGCGGAACGCCCACACTTAACAGGAAGTTCCTAGGCCTCTGTGTCTGGACTCCAGAGCACCTGCTTCTCCCTGGCCTTCATCCCTAGTTGCACTAACCATCCTGGGCTTCCTATCCTGTGTCCCTTGATGGGTGCCCTCCAGGAACCAAGGGGCGGTTCTCACTCCAGGTGGCAGCACTAAGGACCCCCCTCCCCACCCCACCCCGCCAACGCAACAAGAGTTAGCAACGAGGTCCCCGTGAGTCCCACCCATGACCTGCCGACAGTGTTGCCCACTGGAACTTTCTGTGGCCCCCACCACTCAGCCCTTCCCAGCACTTGTCCGGAGCCTCCTTGTCCCTCAGCACAGCTCAGGCCTCAGGCCTGACACTTCCCTGCCTTGTGTCTTTTGCTAAATATGACCTTTCTATATTAATAAAAGATGCTTTGGAGTTGTGCTCTCTAAAAAAAAGTTTAATATAAAGGAGAAATAAAAGGAAATTTAGCAAAGAAATATGTAGATGAATATTTAAATACTCAGAGGTGACATTACTACCAGACATAATGAGATTATCAGATGTTTCATTTACTTATGATTAATATGTTTGTATTTATTTTTTATTCATTTTATTTTATGTATTTATTTATTTTTATTATACTTTAAGTTCTAGGGTACATGTGCACAACGTGCAGGTTTGTTACATATGTATACATGTGCTGTGTTGGTTTGCTGCACCCATTAACTTGTCATTTACATTAGGTATTTATTTTAAGGCTGTTAAAGCTGTAGTCAATTTTCTCACTTTGATCTTCCAAAGGAACCTGCTGTATCTTTTTCATTCTGTGCAAAATAGGCATTTTAGGATCCACTCAATGCTAAAGTCATTGAGTAGCTACAGACTTGCTATTTGTTTCTCCATTGTTATATTTTCATAGTTTTAGAATCTGAGCAGCATTTAATTTGTCTATGCTTTATATTTTCCTTTAGAGAAAGAACACAGTGATACTTGCTCATAGTGTTAGAGGAATAATCCCAAAGAGAGAAATTATTCTTCGAATATCCACCATGACTGAATACTTAGCAATACTGAAACCTACTTATAAAACAAAACAGAAAACCTCCAAAAAACCAAATAAACAACAACAAAACTTAAAACCAAAAAAGTACTGGAAGTCTCAGAAGTATTTAGCAGTTATTCTTGCTCCTTCAAATGAAAAGATGCTTTATCGTATCCTCTATGGAGAGAATTCTGACTATTTATCAAAGACCTTACATTTATTCACCTTTTGCCCTAACAATTTCATAACTTAAAAATACATACAACAATTTACAATATAGCATTTTTTGTAAAGGGAAATAATCAGAAAGAATCTAAGTGTTCAACAATAGGGCACTTGTTGAATTATGATACAATCACTCAATAAGGTCTTCATAGAGCCCATTAAAATGATGTTATTGATATCTATTTATTAATAGGAGAAATCATTTAGAATTTTTGGTTAAGACCTTTAACTAAGCACAAAGTCTATGAAATAATGTGCACAACATTCCATATTTTCATAAGGGGAATGACTTTTAAAACTACCCTGCAATCGTCTCATTTTACACAAATGTCTAGGCAGGTTTGTTACCCGGGTATATTGTGCCATGCTGAGGTTTGGGGTATGACTGATCTCATCATGCAGATATGAAGCTTAGTACCCTGTAGTTTTTCAACCCTGGCTGCCCTCTCTACTGCCTCTACTAGTCTCCATTGTCTATTACAGTCATCTTTTCTTTTTTTTAAAAAAAATCTGTTTTTCTGATTTTTTTATTAGGTAAAAAATGGAAAAACAAAATATAATTTTCATTCAATACATATTTCATCCTTATGCGTTATTTTTTCAGAAAGTGAAGTCCATTTAGAATGATAGCAGTGCATCAACCAAATAATTCATCTTCACATAGTTTCAATAACTCCAGAAATTTTCTTCATCTCTCTCTCTGTAGAAATTCTCAAACTGTGGAATGGTCATCTTTATCGTCATAAATACTGTCATCTTTATGTCCAAGAGCATCCAACATTTAGGTACCAAACTACTACCCAAATCTGATTAATTGATCATGTTGATTCTGTCACATTCTACTTGTCATATCAGATTTTTATTAAAGAAATCATTAGCTTATCTATTATTGTTACTGGGGCTGTAAGAAAATTTTATAATTCATTTGGATCAATCCTCTTCTTTATGGTCTTATTTGAGAATAAAACTTGGTTCTGTCTTAGCCTGTCATTTAATAAGCCAGTGACCTGGGGCAAATCTAACTGCTTCATCTGTAAACTATGAATAATAATAGAGTCCCTCTGCCTGTCACACATGGGTATAGTAAGGTTCCATTTTAAAAATGGCTCTTATTATGTTACCTGAAAGGCATTCTATAATGATGAGTGGCAAGGTGGTCTTAGCAACAGTGCAGTGAAAATTGGGACCATTTTCTGTCGCTATCATTTCTATTTTTGTGATACCCTCTTTAAATTAGTCTTAGGATGTAATGCAAAGGAGTGATGTAATTGGAATTTTCTTCTTTTTTTTTTTTTTTTTTTTTTTTTGAGACAGAGTTTCCCTCTGTCGCCCAGGTTGGAGTGCAGTGGTGCAATCTGGGCGCACCGCAAGCTCCGCCTCCTGGGTTCACGCCGTTCTCCTGCCTCAGCCTTGTGAGTAGCTGAGACTACAGGCGCCCGCCACCGCACCTGTCTAATTTTTTGTATGTTTGGTTGAGACGGGGTTTCACCATGTTACCCAGGATGGCCTCGATCTCCTGACCTCGTGATCCGCCCATCTCGGCCTCCCAAAGTGCCGGGATTACAGGCGTGAACCACCGCGACCGGCCCATAATTGGAAATTTTTGTACTGTTAGATCTAAGAGTATTTTATGTGGTATAATAAAAGATTAATTTAGTGAACCTCATTAGATAATTAGCATGGAATATATTATGCACTGCCATGCAGGGGCCTAAGAGAATGGTCCACACGTCTTGCGAAGTTGATATGAAGACAGGCAACAAGACAGTCTAGCTGAGTAAAAGTCTGTAGACATCTCTAAGGAGGAGTGGTTAGAGAATGCCCTGACTGTGGATAGCTGGCATATTTTACCCCAGAAAGAAGAGCACAGAGTGGCAGAGAGTACTTGAGATTTAAATAAGAAAAGAGGATGAAAAAATTACTTTCACTAATTATAAATTTTCTCAAGAATGGACTTATTCTCTATTTTCTATTGCCTCTTGAGAAATCATTATTTTTCATTCAGCCAACATAATTATTAAGACTAATTGTGGAGGGTATTCAAAATGGAAAAACAGCGGTCCCTAGGATTATATTTTATTTATGAATGATCACTCATTTGTAACTTTTCCTTCAGTTAGATGTTTTTTAATACAAAAATACCTTTTTAGCACCAGTACAATTTGTGAAACGAAATGTGAAATTCAGGCATATATGTAATTTTATGTGTAAAATATTCCATTTTTTTCTGTTAATGAAGTAAGTATGTTTAACATGAGATATATCCTCTTAATAAATGTTTAACTGTGCAATACAATCTTGTTAACTATAGGTGCTCTGTTGACAGCAGACCTCTAGAACTTATTCATCTGTTATAACTGAATTTTATACCCATTGAACAGCAACCTCCATTTCCCCTCCTTCCAGACCCTGGCAACCAGTATTCTACTCTATTTCTGGGAGTTTAACTATTGTAGATATCTTACGTAAGTGGAATCAGGCAGTATTAAAACATACTTTCAATTAGTAATGACTATAATTCGGATAATTTAAATAAGAGAAAGCAAATATCACTACTACTAGTTTTTGGGGGAAAATATTACAAATAGGGATATTGTGATAAAAGTGTACAATATTTTTTACATTTGTGCACTTAGATCCGTGTTCAAACTTTGCCACCTATACATGTATAGCACATTTAAATATGTGCTACAGTATGCCATTTATAAAGACTGAAAATAACATTTTATAAAACATTATTATTTATTTAGCAACCTCATGAGCTTTGGCTTCAAAAATACCTGATTTACAAAGCATAATCCTAGTGCTGGAGAACAGATCAGTGGCTGCCAAAGGTTAGGGTTGGTTGGAAGATGTGATTAGTGAGGGATAACGTGAAAACATGTACTTTCTTTGTGGTGATAGAGCAGTTCTGCATCCAGATTATGGTGATGGTTACATAAATCCACACTTCATAGACCTATACACACACATCACACATACACTCACACACACCTACACAAGAGTACATGTAAAATCCTTGGAAATATGAATAGGGTCTGAACTGGAGTTAATGGTATGGAAACAATGTCAATTTCCTGATTTGGCAAAGTACTAGGTTAAGTTAGATATAATTACTGGGGAAAGTTGGCTGAAAATAAGACGGTCATTCTTTTTACTATTTTTTAACTTCTTGTGAGTAAAATTATTTAAAAATAATTGGTATTAAAGACAAAAAATCTAAAATTTCTAAAATCAAAGCCCTTATGAATTTAAACATATTATTTGATTTATTTTGTAGACCTTGATTTCTTCACCTGTAAAAATGGAATGATAGTAGAATTTCTATCTCATTATTGTCATGCTTAAACCATACCATTTATGTAAGTGCCCAGTACTGTGTCTGGTGAACAATAATGCTTAAACACTGAGTTCCCCACTTTTTTATGGCTGTTGGTTTACAGGTGGTTTTTAAGTTCCTAAGTGGAAGTTTGTTTAAAAAGAGGCAGTCAAAATAAACAGCAATGTCTCAGAGCATCATCTGAACAAGAAAGGAAGGTGTTCTCCATCCCTTGAAATGGTCTCAGTCCTCTTTTATTGTTTAGCTCTCATGTGAGTCTTCACAAATAACCTCAAGAATTGCTACATCACCAACAGAGAATTAACTCTCATTGAGTTTTTAGCTCAGTAGATTCTGGGTCCTAAAATTTATGGACTCACCTGCTTTTTAAATTTTTCCCATTTAGAAATATTCAATTTAAATCTTCCTTCAGTAAGTAATTGTTAACTATTAACAATCCTAACATTATAATAAAGTCAGAAGTAACATTTATTACTTTTGTTTTCCACTCATACTGCTTGCAGTCCATAAGCATACAGCATTTTTGTCTTTCCAAATATCTAAAGGAAGATAATCAAAATCAAAACTAAGAAATCCTTCTCTGAAGTCATATCTCTCTAACTAGATTGTATATTTATTGAGGGTGATGACTATATTTTCTTTTCCAGGAGAACAAAACAAATACAAGGTTGGGATGAATTTAATTTAGTGGGGGATGGAGAGGGGAAGGAGTCAAGTTTCTTCATCCTTTTCCATGCTTTGATAACTTTATCTGTGAGATCCTAGTTAAAAGAACATGACTATCTAAAGAAGTAAGTGCTTGAAAGGCCCACTGTATTAGGAGATCAGGAATTGTTAGCTTGAAAAGACATAAATGGAAAGAAAACATAATACAGAGACAAAATACATGAAATTTGTATCGTGGTACACATGTGCTTTGTGATCATATTTCTGTGTCATAAACAAAAAAAAGTATAAAGCTTAACCAAGAGAAATTTAGGGCACATAGAAGCATTTACATGTTTTCATACTATGAGCTGGGGCTAAGGTGTCCTTTACCATGACAGTTGGTGAAGCATAAGAACAAATCAATTCACAAATGTTCTGGTAAATTCCAATTTCCGCACCTTAAATCATAGACCTAAGTCAGTCAAAGTCAGTCATATATATAGATATATGTGTGGGTGTGTATATATATATATATATATATATATATATATATATATATACACACACCCACATATATATGTATATATACATACATATATATATGTATATATACATACATATATATGTATATATACATACATATATATGTATGTATATATACATATATATATATACAGGCACCTACATAAGTGGTATGATTTAAGCATGACAATAATGAGATAGGAATCATACTATTATTCCATTTTTACAGGTGAAGAAATCAAGGTCTACAAAAGAAATCAAATCATATGTCCAAATTCATATGGGCTTTGATTTTTGAACTTTCAAATTTTTGTCTTTGCTTAATACCTTTTGTTTTAAAATAATTTGACTCATAAGAAGTTAAAAAAAGAAGTAAAATGAATGACCATGCTATTTTCAGGCAACTTTCCCCAATGATTATATCTAACTTAACCTAGTACGTTGCCAAAATCAGGAAATGGACATTGTTTCCATACCATTAACTCAGGTTCAGACCCTATTTATATTTCTAAGGATTTTACATGTACAGATGTGTTTGAATGTATGTGTGATGTGTGTATATAGATCTATGAAGTGTGGATTTATGTAACCATTACCATAATCTGGATGCAGAACTGCTCTATCACCACAAACAAAGTACATGTTTTCACATTAACCCTCACTAATCACATCTTCCAACCAACCCTAACCCTTGGCAGCTACTGTTCTGTTCTCCAGCACTGGGATTATGCTATGTAATTCAGGTATTTTTGAAACCAAGCTTATGAGGTTGCTAAATAAATAATAATGTTTATAAACTATTATTTTCAGTCTTTATAAATGGCATACTGTAGCACATATTCCAATGTGCTATACATGTATAGGTGAGCCAAAGTTTGAACATGGATCTAAGTGCACAAACATAAAAAATATTGTACACTTTTATCATAATATCTCTATTTGTAATCTTTTTCCCCAAATACTAGTAGTAGTGATGTTTGCTTTCTCTTATTTAAACTATCAGAATCTTTAAACTTTCTCTTATTTAAACTATAGTCATTACTAATTGAAAGTATGTTTGAATACTGCCTGATTCCACTTACACAAGATAGATATATATAGCAGTCATATCTATGTGTGTGTATATATTTATATATATGTCAGTCATATATATGTGTGTGTGTATATATTTATATATATATGTCAGTCATATATGTGTGTATATATTTATATATATCACATACACACATATATAGACGGAGTTAGGTCTATGATCTCTGTATATATTTATATACACACATGTGTATTTTTAAACTATTACATGAAGCAAATAGTACAGTTGATTTCATATAACAAGAGTAATAACTCTTGTTATGGATGTATATGGGCATGTATATGGATGTATGGGATGTATGGGCATGTATATGTATGCATGGGATGTATATGGATGTATATGGGCAAAAGTTAATGCATATGGGCAAATAAATTGATGAACTTACAGACTCATTTATTTGACATATATTTATTGTGTGGTCTCTATTGAATGCAGGGTATCTTCCAGGAGCCTAAAATTCAGCAGTGAACGTAATAGGCTCAAATCCTTGTACTCAAGTAGCTAATATTCTAATCGAGGGAGAAGACAATAAACAAAGTTAATAAGCAAAATATTCAACATACTAGTTGATAGGAAGTTCTGTGGTGAAAAATAAAGTAAGAGGAAAAGAATGAGAGGAAGCTCTAAAAGCAACTGAAGATTTACGTGAAGAAGCTGCCCAGGCGTTGGCCCAGAGTGACAGGAAGTGCCATGAGTTCAACAGGCAGGTCACAGTTCAGTGGAAAGAAAAGGATTTCCAGGGCATGTTGAAGTGCCACAAAGAGGGCGAGGCCCTCCTCATCCTCAACCTGGTGACAGACTTGAAGCCCCAGATGCTGTTGGACACAGTGCCCTGTATCCCCGCCTACATCCTCTACATGTGCATCCGGCTCGCGGACCAAACCAATGATGATCTCAAGGTGCACTCCCTGATGACCTCCACCACCAACGGCATTAAGGAAGTCCTGAAGAAGCACAGTGATGACTTTGAGATGACGTCATTCTTGTTATCCAACACCTGCCACCTTCTTCACTGTCTGAAGCGGTACAGCGGGGATGAGGGCTTCATGACTCAGAATACTGCAAAGCACAACGAACACTGCCTTAAGAACTTTGACCTCACCGAATACCGTCAGGTACTGAGCGACCTTTCCATTCAGATCTACCAGCACCTCTTTAAAATTGCCGAGGGTGTGTTACAGCCGATGATAGTTTCTGCCATGTTGGAAAATTAGAGCATTCAGGGTCTATCTGGTGTGAAGCCCACTGGCTCCCAGAAGCACTCCTCCAGCATGGCAGATGAGGATAACTCATACCGCCTGGAAGCTATCATCCGCCAGATGAATGCCTTTCATACAGTCATGTGTGACCAGGGCTTGGACCCTGAGATCATCCTGTAGGTATTCAAACAGCTCTTCTACATGATCAACGCAGTGACTCTTAATGACCTGCTCCTGCGGAAGGACGTCTGCTCTTGGAGCACAGGCATGCAACTCAGGTACAATATAAGTCAGCTTGAGGAGTGGCTTTGGGGAAGAAACCTTCACCAGAGTGGAGTAGTTCAGACCATGGAACCTCTGATCGAAGCAGCCCAGCTCCTGCAATTAAAGAAGAAAACCCAGGAGGATGCAGAGGCCATCTGCTCCCTGTGTGCCTCTCTCAGCACCCAGCAGATTGTCCAAATTTTAAACCTTTAGCCTCCCCTGAATGAATTTGAAGAACAGGTAACAGTGGCCTTTATACAAACGATCCAGGCACAACTACAAGAGCAGAATGACCCTCAGCAACTGCTATTAGATGCCAAGCACATGTTTCCTGTTTTGTTTCCATTTTATCCATCTTCCCTAACCATGGAGTCAATCCCAGCATGTCTCAATCTGGAGTTCCTCAATGAAGTAGATGCATGTTTAGTGTGATTCCCAATGTGAGCAAAAAGGAAGCGTAGACAGTAAAGTAAATTCAAGGATCTGTTAAATCTGGTAAAAGTAGATCAAATCAGAGATTGACAGCCTGTGGAGAGTGCTGAACTATACAGAATTAGACACAACTATGGCATTATTTTTTGTAAGTACTGCTCAGAATAAAAACACTTGAAATGTGGAACATTTTAAGTTTGATTTCAGTCCAACAAATATACATTATAATTTATAGACACCAAGCAGTCCCCATAGCCATATAAAAGATGCCAATTCTGTAAAATGAAGCTGCTGAGTTTTAATCTTTGCATATAACTGGAGAATGTCCAGATTAAAATACTAACTATATATAAGTCACATAAATTGCCTTCAAAGTGCTTTTAACAAATAATAGTACTAATAACCATGATAATGGCATATACTGACATTTCCCAAAGTTTGCAAACCATAGGTGTGGTAGAGTTTGTGGTGAGATGTGTTAAGAACAAAAATATGGGGATGAGACTTCTGAGAAATGTCCCCAAAATATTTTTTAATGGCTGATTATACAAAGACAGCAGTGTAACTGACCTCCAAACCAGACATTTTGAGTACTGGTTTCTGAAGCAAAATTAGAAGTGCCAGTCCTCAGTGTCCTCAAACGCTTTTGTGTAATCTTGGTTTAATGGAAGAGATGATTAAAATGCTGCTATCTGAAACTCCAAGTGAGAAATATGGAAAAATAATTTGTGTCTGATGCTAGTCCATACACTTTCCAAGTCCCACAAAACTCTCACAAAAATGTATATAAGCTAAATATTACAAAATGATAATAACTTGTTTTATTTATAGATGTGAAAACCAAACAATGTGAAAGCTTTTAATCTCTTAATACCATTAAGCCTCCAGTAAGAGCCTCATATAATGCTCTACTATTCCAAACAACTGAATAGTAAAACAAACTAACCTCGCACATCAGATTATCTGAAAAACCTTCAAAAATACTCAGTTCAGGGATTACTATTATACAAAAGTTTGGGTTTTTTTAAGAGAATAAAATGGCTTAGGTCAACTTTCCCCTTTCAGGTTATTTTCAACGTTTTTCAAACTTTGTAATTCAAAATTGTAAATATCTCTCCTATGAAATAAGGATTTTAAAAAAGAATAATTCAGTAACATAACAGGCGTAGATGTTTGCTGCTCTTAGAATTTTTTGTTTGTTTGTTTTTGGGCTCTTCAAAAGCAAGCATTCAGTTAGAAACCCATATTATTCTTTCCACACTTTTTTTATTATACTTAAAGTTCTAGGGTACATGTGCACAATGTGCAGGTTTGTTGCATTTGTTTACATGTGCCATGTTGGTTTGCTGTACCCACTAATTCGTCATTTCCATTAGGTATATCTCCTAATGCTATCCCTCCCCCCACCACACAGCAGGCCCTGGTGTGTGATGTTCGCCTTCCTGTGTCCAAGTGTTCTCATTGTTCAATTCCCACCTATGAGTGAGAACATGTGGCGTTTGGTTTTTTGTCCTTGCGATAGTTTGCTGAGAATGATGGTTTCCAGCTTCATCCATGTCCCTACAAAGGACATGAACTCATCATTTTTTATGGCTGCATAATAAAATTTTTTATTCCATATTCTTTCCACACATTTTTTTACTGTCTTTTCCCTATTTCTTGATAGCAGTATGCTGTTTCCATGATAAGAACAAATAGTGTTTGCCAATCATAGAAGAACAGCCTCTGTATTACATTGAGAAAATGAGATTTATCCATGGATTGGAAGTAGAACAGCCTGCCTCTACCCTCCTTTACTCAACCACCCAACTTAAAAGGCTCTCGGAAACACAGCACACTCCAAGCTACCTTCTGTAATGTCCCCTTAGAGCACAGCTTCCTCAGTCGTTCTCTGCATCTCCTGGGGCTTAACCCAGTCTTAGCCTGTGTTGAGGCTGCTGACAGTTGTGTTCCAATCAGTTGCCATGGACATTATCCCTTCTACATCCACATTAAACATGCCAGCTTCTCTTGGGTGTCTGCAGAGCTGTGCCTTTTTCTTTCAGTTACAGTTACATAATCACTGACGTCCATGACACTCACACATGGATCCATGTGCTGACTTCATTTAGAAGGCCAATCTAAAACAACTGGGTTTGTGGCTACCTCTTTAAAGTTGTTTGTGGGGTATAATTTGCTTTTTGATGCACTTTAGTTTGAAACTGAGTCCCTTATGTAAGGACTGTCCTTAATCTTAAAAGACCAAAAATGCTTTGTTAGAGTGTTAAGGAGTTTTGACATGCAGTGGTTCCACAAATACAGTGGCTTACTGTCCTTATATACTGTCTTACACCATCGTTCTCTCCATCTCTCTTGGTCACTACTGTCTGCTGTCACTGGTTAATCACTAGATGCCAAGAGCTTACTGAACAAAAGCTTGGCAATCAGAATAAATGGGGAGGGAAGGACCTTATGAATCATCTATTTAGCCTAAGAAACGGCAGGTTTAGTTCTTCTCTTCCAAAAGATACAGGTATATCACTGGAATTGTACTTAAAATTTATAGATGACTAGCAAATATATACTTTATATGTACTTAACATTTAGATCAGTCTTATTTAATACTTGGAGGTTAGAAGAAGCATCTTTAGGGGAACTATATAATATTCTGTTAGCATTTTCTCTGCATTTTAAAAAATCATTTCAACTCAAACACTTATCAGCATCATGAAATCAGTAACGACTCAAACAATTCAACATAAAGGTTTGAACTCTGCACTAGATGTCTCTTTAATTTTTTAATATTTAAAATTTAGTTCAGCTTTTCTCACCAGGTGCCTTTAGTGGTGACTAAGATAACTGACTTCTCAATTGTTTCTCTGAAATAAGTGTTGCTGTGGGAATAATTTTAATGTTCAATGTGATATCATGGTGGAGTTTTGTCTTTTAAAATATTAGAAGCATTTTAAATACTAAGAATCAAATATTTATAGATCAAACACTTGTGTTTTAAGTATTATACAGGACCTGTTTACATATAGTAAATGTGTATGTATACATGAGTTGTTGCTGAAGCCGACAAGCATATTACATACATGCATTTTCCCTGTGCCATCATAGTTGCAGTTACAGTTCTAGTACCAGTAGGCTCACCTGGGAGGCAGGTTAGACCCAAAGGTAGACATTTTTCCCTTTCCTGAAGCATGATGGTGGGAGTTGATTCTTTGATTTCCTTAGTACCAAACTTTAAGGCTTTTGCAAAAACAAAACAAAAAAAAAAACTAGGAGCTTGGAACATTTAAAAATTAACGCTGCTACCATCAATTCATCAAATATTTACTTAGAACCTTCATACATTAAGATTCTGGTAACCAATAAATTAGAATTTATTTTTTCTGCATAAAGTAAATTTTCATAAACTCGACCTACTGAGAGAGCAAAGATGTCCTAATTTGAGGCATTTGTATAATGCCTACATAACTAAATGGTAACTAAAATGGGACAGCATGGGGCAAGACCTTGTAGTTCTTCACAGACTATTTGTCATCAGTTTCTCCAATTAATTTGCTGCATGAGCCAAATAACCATAATTCACCTTTTGTACCCACTGGAGCCATAATTAGAGAATTAGAGGGTGTAGACAGAGGTTAATGCCAATGACAAACACAGGGCAGGATTTATTATTATTATAAAGGTCATTACATACAAAAGATTGTTTTTTAAAAAAAAATTCCTAATTCTAACAAAGGGGATCAACCAGAAATGAAACTAAGCTACTTTCTGAAGTGACACTGTATCAGAATAATCCAGATTTGAATATAACATTTTGCCACCCGCTGACATTTAGATGAAGGACTGCCTCTCCGGAAGAGTTCAGAACATTCAGGGGTGAACCTAACACCAGGGAAGAAAGACTACTGATGAAAATATTTTTCCACTTTGAACAAATCTGTAAACTACACCTTTCTTTATAGAAAAATGCTTGGAATAGTCACTGTAATATTTAGCTGTGGATAAAAATTTGTGGAAATAAATACGTTTGAATTAGAAAAAGCAAGGAAGAAGAATGGGGTTGATAGGATGTATATTTAAAATAGATTATCCAGGAACAACTGCACTGTGTTATATATATGTGTGATAATATATGTATAATTATATATCACTATATATAATAACTGTATCTTTATATCTGGTGCAGGTGAGTAAATAACCCATGCAAATATCTGGGGGAGGAATAGTCCAGGCACTACAGGAATATCAAAAAGGCCAATATGACACAAGCAGAGTAATGACAGAGTGATATGGAGTGAGGAGCAGATGAAATAATAAGAAAAGTAGGCAGGTTGTTTTGAGGGGTATGCTTCTCAGATTCTAATTTGCATATAAATCACCTAGGTTTCACATTAAAATAAAGATTCTGATTCAGGTGGTCTGGAGAGTTTATATTTCTTACAAGTTTCAGGGGATGCTGGTGCTACTGGTCTGTGTATCACACTTTGAATACCAAAGGACTGGAGATGTGTGCATGGTAAGGAGCTTTGGGATGTGAGTACTGTGGGTTGAATTATGTCTTCCCCAAAAAGATGTTCAAATCCCAACTCTCAGTACTTGTAAATATGACATTACTTGGAAATAAAATCTTGCCTAGTCAGTCAAGTTAAGTGGATTCAGATGGGCCCTTATCAAATGACTAGTGTGCTTGTAAGAACGTGGATATTTAGAAAAACACATAGTGGATAAAGTATGTGAAGATGAAGGAAGAGATTGGAGTCATGTAACTACAAGCCAAAGAATGCCAAGGATTGATGGCAACTGTGAGAAGCTAAGAAAAGACAAGGAAGGATCCTCCCCTGGAGCCTTCAGAGACCATGACCCTGATGACACCTTACTTTCAACTCCTAGCCTCCAGAACTGTGAGAGGATAAATTTCTGTAATTTTAACCTACTCAGTTGGTGGTAATTTGTTACAGTAGCCTGAGGAAACTAATACCTTGAGTGGGATGGAGAGTGAAGTCATTGGAGGGTTTTAACAGAAGAATGGCTCCGTCTGACATATTCTTAAAGAATCACCCTAATTGCAGAAACTAGAATAGACTGAAGGCAAGGGGCTACAGGGAAGTAGGAAGACCAGTTAGGCGGCTATAGCAGTAAACCTAACTGGAGAGTGGAGAGATGGTGGTTTGAATCAGGGTGGTAGTGATGGTGGTGAGACAGGAACAGAATCTGAAGATGTTTTGAATTACTATTGATAAAATTTGTTAACATAGTATGAGCTATAAAAAAATGAGGGTGGCTGGGAGTCGTAGCTTAGTCCTGTAATCACTGCACTTTGGGAGGCTGAGATGGGTGGATTACCTGAGGTCAGGAGTTTGAAACCAGCCTGGCCAACATGGTGAAACCCCGTCTCTATTAAAAATACAAACATTAGCCGGGCATGTTGGCGGGTGCCTGTAATCCCAGCTCCTCAGGAAGCTGAGGCAAGGGAATCACTTGAACCCAGGAGGTGGTGGTTGCAGTGAGCCAAGATCATGCCATTGCACTCCAACCTGGATGACGAGAGTGAAACTCCATGTCAAAAAAAAACGTAGAATGATTTATAATACTTTGGGTAGAAACCTAGTAATGGGATTGCTGGGTCAAATGGTATTTCTGGTTCTAGAACCTTGAGAAATCGCCACACTGCCTTCCACAATAGTTGAACTAACTTACACTCCCATCAACAGTGTAAAAGCATTCCTATTTCTCCATATCCTCTCCAGTGTCTATTGTTTCCTGACTTTTTAGTGGTCGTCATTCTAACTGGCGTGGGATGGTATCTCACTGTGGTTTTGATTTGCATTTCTCTAATGACCAGTGATGTGGGAGATCGGTCAGGGTGGTGGGAGAAGCTATAAGGAAAGACGCAAGCCTTCTTGAAAGGTTGGAAGGTCTTGCAAAAGCTTCATGAGAGAATAAAGGTGAAGGAAGAAAATTCTCTTTCTCTGAGGCTAAGGGTGAGAAGTAGGTGCAAGGAAAAGTAAAGAAGTTTATCTAAATAGGCTTGTTTACTTATGTCATCAGGAAACTGACTTTTGAACTTCTGAGCATGAGACTGCTCCCTGTAAGAGGGAGCAAAAATGTTAATTACCCAGCAATTGTGTTGACTCCAGGCCTTGGACGTTATACCAGTACTGAATAAATACAAGCAGCTCTGTCTTACTGAGACTGCTAACTCTCCTCTGCCCCTAGTGCTCGCAGCCTCCTAGCCTGCTCTTACCCTGTATATTTGTGTCTGAGTACTCCTTTCTTCTGTTGCTCAGCCAGGGTCTGCGGGATGGACCCAGCACAGTGATGATGAGCTTTTTTTCATATGTTTGTTGGCCGCATAAATTTCTTCTTTTGAGAAGTGTCTGCTCATATCCTTTGTCCACTTTTTGATGGGGTTGGCACATGCACATGTATGTTTCCTGCAGCATTATTCACAATAGCAAAGACTTGGAACCAACCCAAATGCCCATCAATGATAGCCTGGATAAAGAAAATGTGGCACATATATACCATGGAATATTATGCAGCCATAAAAAAGAATGTGTTCATGTCCTTTGCAGGGACATAGATAAAGCTGGAAACCATCATTCTCAGCAAACTAACACAGGAACAGAAAACCAAACACTGCATATTCTCACTCATAAGTGGGAGTTGAACAATAAGAACACATGGATACAGGGAGGGGAATATTACACACAAGGGCCTGTCAGGGGGTGGGGGGTAAGGGAGGGATAGCATTAGCAGAAATACCTAATGTAGATGACAGGTTGATAGGTGCAGCAAACCACCATGACACATGTATACCTATGTAACAAACCTGCATGTTCTGCACCTGTATCACAGAACTTAAAGTATAATTAAAAAAAAAAAATAGGGCTGCCAAGGGTATAAACAGGGTGTTTTGTGGCTTAATAACTGTATAACTATAAGGATGGAGTCTATTACCTCCTGATATGAGGAACATGATGAGAGAAGGTGAGAATGGAGAAGATGCTGGGTAAGTGGGGAGAATAGTAGAAGGAGATTAAGAGCTCTTTTTGAGGTATGTTCACTTTGAGATGCCTATTTTGCCTGCAAGTGGAGATAGTAATTAGGCTACTTGGCATAAGTCTGGAGTCCAGAGCATAGGTCTCCACTGGAGATTTATCTGATATGAGTTATTAAGAGAAATTATGATGTTTGGCAAGCATGTCCTTAAGTTGTGAGATTAACATCAAGAAGGATAATCATGCACTTCTAAAACATGGTGTTCAGTGTCACTTATTTGAAAACATACTGGGCCATTATTTGACCTGTGACAGTTCTGACATTCATTCTAAGACTACCAGATATGAAAGTCAGGAGACTGATTATTTTCTTTTTTGGTGCTTTTCTCACTCTAAACTTCAACTTTCCATATCATTAAAGCCACTAAGGTAAACAATTAGCCTAAGAGGTATATTCATTATTTTTTTGCTGCCTTTAAATTTGATGCCTCATTGTAAAAAATATGACCTCACTTGTATTTGTGTGGATGATATTTTAAAAGATCATACTGGGCAGAGAATATGGACAATTTCATTATTTAATACTTTAGACTAATGCCAATCATTCAAACATGAATTCTTCATGCATCTGTCTTGTCAAAGAAACAGAGCTCATATTGTGTATGTGAAATATCACCTAGTGTCTATTTCAATCGTATATATTTTCTGTTTGTATCTTAGAAAAATTATTTCACCTCAACAAGCATATTGCTTGTTGGAATTATCTGGATGTAGTGATAAAATAATTATTTTCATCAACATCTGAAGAAAATGCCTATGTATCTGTTGGGATGGGAGGTGGGATGGAGAGGTGTGCAGTTGTCTAGCACCACTTGTGGCTGGGAAGGTATGTGTGTCCACAGTAACAGAAAAAATCTATTGTTACCACAAAGATTCCCCATAGCTCCTTTAAAAATAAACCTGCCATCTTGATCTCCATCTGCCTGAATCTTTGCTTATCTCTCCCTTAGTTCAAAATTCTGACAGAGAATATAAGCATATTTATCAATCCTTCAAGCCCCAGTAGAAACATCAGGGGGAGAAAACTTACCTATTTTGAAATGGTTGACCAATTCTCAGTGACAAAGGTAGTTACAGTCTGATTTTCTTGTCCATTGCCAAGAAAAAATGATTCAGTCTGACTCCAATTTATAAGGGCATGTTGAAAGCAAGAATCCTGCTTGTAGAGATTCTTCTTCTAGGCATGAGGAATGGTTATTCCAGGTAATGGATTCCTAATTTGCCCTTCTGTGGAACTAGATTTGCATGACAGATGACAGAATATTTGTCACCTTAAGATCCTTGAAAAATTAATTTAAAGCCATGCTATTTCTAATTGTTTTGGCTTATGCTCTGAAGTGTTTTTTTTGTTTTTTGTTTTTTGTTTTTTTTTGAGACAGAGTCTCGCTCTGTCGCCCAGGCTGGATTGCGGTGGCGCAATCTCGGCTCACTGCAAGCTCTGCCTCCCAGGTTCACGCCATTCTCCTGCCTCGGCCTCCCGAGTAGCTGGGACTACAGGCGCCCGCCACTACACCTGGCTAATTTTCTGTATTTTTAGTAGAGAGGGGGTTTCACCGTGTTTGCCAGGATGGTCTCGATCTCCTGACCTCGTGACCCGCTCGCCTCGGCCTCCCAAAGTACTGGGATTACAGGCGTGAGCTACCGCGCCCGGCCCTGAAGTTTTTCTAAGGCTGCCAAAATTGTGGTCACCAACATAATAGGTACCATTTATCCATTATCCAGTGTAAAATATGTATAATATGTTATATAATATAAAACAATATATCTGCTGGTGCATATAGCTTTATTATCATATAAGCTATATGAAAGCAGAAATATGCATTTAAATTCAACATTTGCAGAATGTTTCCTTTTTTTTTTTTTTTTTCTTGAGACAGAGTCTCGTCCTGTCGCCCAGGCTGGAGTACAGTGGTGTGATCTCGGCTCACTGCAACCTCTGCCTCCCGGGTTCACGCCACTCTCCTGCCTCAGCCTCCTGAGTAGCTGGGACTACAGGCGCCCGCCACCACACCCAACTAATTTTTTGCATTTTTAGTAGAGACGGGGTTCACCATGTTAGACAGGATGGTCTTGATCTCCTGACCTCGTGATCCGCCCACCTCAGCTTCCCAAAGTGCTGGGATTATAGGCATGAGCCACCGTGCCCGGCCTGCTTTTAGCTCTTACAATCGAGGGTAAAACTACTTATAAGGGTGGATTGCAATATGCATATATTTGAAGAAACCTGATACACATTGCTTCATTTTTTCATACAGCCTTAAGCAGATTATTAAATTTACCTTTTTATTTGAGTACTAACACTTTTCCTACATAGTTAGAGAGAGTTGTTTGCTCAGTTAATGCAGCAAAGGGATGAGGGTAAGAATGTGTGACAGTTAGCTCATTCTAATTTGCTCATTGATTGTTGGACATATTCCCTCAATTACTTGACCTCAGCTCCTATATTGGGGCTTACATTAGGTGAACACCCAGGGTCTCAGGGCTCCATGTGGGTGTTTGAAATCACTTGTCTAGATATATAAAAGAGAACAGGATATACTCACCACTTGCTTGGACACATTTTACTGCCTAAACGGTTCATTTACACTGGCCAGTGATGCATTACTTCTTGCCCCTAAGCGTTTCTCAATCTGTGTTTTGTATCTAAAATACGCCTTTTTCTCCATAATCTTTTAAGTTATCTTTTTTTGCTAGCATTGCTTATAAAATCTCATTTTCTCCAAGAAATCTCTCTTGAAGCTTAGAAAAACAAAACTGGGGTAATATTTTCTAGGTAAATAGGCACAATTCTATAATTCTATATTCCATGATTTGTATTAAATATAATATAAATATCGATACATATTCTTTGTCTTTCAGAATAGGTATGTTATGTTCATATGTGTCAGGTTGGATCAGTATTTAAATTTTACTACTGAGATAAACAAAGAGTTATTAGCAATTTTTAAAAGTTGCTGTACAATTTGTCATATTTCATTGTGCTTCTTAATGACAAATATGTCCAAGATTATATTGGGAGATGCCATTTTCTGTACTTTATCCCCAGATTTAGGAGTGATACTTAGTACAGCTTTCAGAATTTCAAGAAATAGTAGCACTACTTTTAACTAGACTAAAGTATTTTGTTTTTCTTTTGTATAACTTTCTGGACATTTGTAAATTCACAGGATGTCTTCCTCAAATCACAAAATGCCTATCTTCTAATTCAATTGGGAGGTCAGATACCAGTTTAATTCTGGAGCCATATGAATATTGCCTGAGTTAGTGTTATAGCTGAATATCATGCAAATGTGGAAGAAGTCTATTGAATCAATGTCATTTTATACATGGAAATAAGCAAACAGTTGTAAATAATATGGAATATTAAAAATCTTTCTAGTAAACCAATGTTTATGCTTTTCAATTGTCTTGCTAAAGAAACATAGCTTCTTTAGCAAGATGTAATATACCATGATGGAAAATATTGTGCTGTAAATAAAGAAAATAACAAATTTTGGGTCTCAGCTTAGGTTATCAGTTACCTAGTCTTAAACAAATGATATATCACCAGTGAAATTTAGCTTTTAGACATCAGTAAAGTAAGAAAATAAGCCTTGTTTACCATGAAATTTGATGCAAAAATTAGGTAATATTTAACTGGACTTATAAAGGACTTCTTTTTTCAAGAAACAATAAGAAAATGACCTGAAATAGTATAAGTTTTTATTCATAAGTAAAATTATTGCTAATTCACTTTACAATAATCTACTTTTATTAATGGTGATCCTTGCATATTAAGACTTACAATCCTATTAATAATTGCTCACCTACAAATGACATTTGTCAAGGGATCAAAGTCTTCATGTACCACATAAAATATTATTATAACAAAGTAAACCAGCTGTATGCCTTTGATCACTACATCAATATCTAGATCTTTTAGCTTCTATTTCTGTTCCATTCTGCCAGCCAAGGGTCTTTATAAAAATACAAAGGAAAAGGAACAGCTAGTAACACATTTGATGTGCCACTCTGCTGGACTTCAGAATGCTTAATATCATCTTGTTTAATTTCATGTTTCAAAAAGCTTCTCAATGGCAGGATCAATTACTTTCAATCTCCACATCAATCAGTCTAGATGGTTCCATGATTTGCTAAGGATAGCTGCAAACTGAACTTTGTGAACCCACGATGCATATTGTGTTAATCCTTGATATGGAAGGATCCTTCCGCAGAATAAGCGGAGCTGAAAAAGGTGTGCTTACTTTCACAAACTGAATGTTATTTAAGGAATAAAAGGTATTCTTTAAAGTGTTAAATCTAGATGAACACTGAAAAATACAGTCTTCAGAAAAATCAAGTGATTTCACTTCTGTATTCATTGCTGAAATGAGAACATCATTTCATTTCTAATTCTAATTTGAATTTTGATTTAAGGTTAAAAACACTTTAGGATTGTTTCATATTGCAGAATAATCTGTAACTTGTTCTGTAAACACTAGTTGCTAGGCTAAAACAGTGAGTTATATTTCTTTGTGTATGATACTATTCCTTTATTGTCAATTTTTCCTGAACTCACCAGTAGAATATATTTTAATTTGAATAATTTAAGAAGCAATGTCACCAATATGGATAGAACAATAATTTCACTTTTTTTACTAATTTAATTAAGAAGGTAATTTTTAGCAATATCCATTTCTATTTGGTTGTGTTTTTATCTATTTCAATTATTTTCTATATTGGAAGTAATCATGAATTTTAATTTTCATACAGCCCTCTTATCTTTTACTTAAAAAATTTAATGTTTAATGAATTTGGAGGGAGGGCCAACCTTCATTCTTACATTTATTTATACATTCAATGGGAAAGCAGTACTATTCTCCTGAATGTTCAAACAAGCAATGGAAATTTGCAAGAGAGAAATAATTTAAAATTTTCATCACATTGTATTGAAATTTCTTCTTTGTTTCCGTTTTTTCACCAGATCTTGAGCTCTTGAAGATGCATTGTCCATAGATGGTCTTCATTAATTTAAGCAATGTTTTCAGGGCAGTTATTCTGTGAATATGCCTGTAGGATTTAACTGGTCTTTGAATTATGGATATTATTTGGAGAGCTGGGGAGGAGAGTGAAGGACACTATATAGGTAGGCAAACATCTTGAAATTTTGAAACATTGTGTAATTATTTTACACATAACTGCCTGGACATGACCAACAGGTATAAGAATAGAATCTGTTGGTTGCTAAAACTATACATTTTTAGTTAATGTCCAACATGTACCAATAGATGCCACTGAAGATCTTCTATGAAGTTCCTCCTAAGAGTCATAACTGGTGAACACAGTTCATCCATGGGGAATACAGACTATAACTTACTAATGGATTTAGGAAGGAATCTACCTAGCATTTTTGGGAAAATGTGAATAAATCAACCTGATCAATGTGGTGGGTTCCTCTAGAAAACAGAAAAACAGGGTTAGGCTAAGTAATGTGGAGATTTGAGAAGATAGATCTGGGGTGATAGAATATTAGATATAACAAAGGCAGTCTCTTCAACTTTACCAAGTTTTTCTTGTCATTTGTGCTGGTGTCTACCAAATTGTATGTGACTGCTTGCTTTCAGTATGGCAAATGCATCTTCAGAAACATTATAATTAAGATAACTTTTCCAATAGAGTGCAAAATGTGCATCTCTAGAAAGGTTTACTCAGAGAACTCTGGCAATACAATGCCACATACATGCAGCGTTATGATCTTTAGTTTGATTTCTCCTTCCCTTGACCCTGAATAGGACTCTACAGTCAAGGAAGTTGAATGGAGAGGGAATTTGAGAAGTCAGGCTGTGTTTGTTAAAAGGGTTTTATGATGTCTTCTCTTTGAGTAAATATACTGGCTATTGTATCTTTCTTTCTTCCTTCCTTCCTTCCTTTATTGTATCTTCCTTCCTTCCTTCCCTCCTTCTTTCCCTGTTTCCTCCCTCCCTCCCTTACAGCCTTCCTTCTTTCCTTCCTTCTTTCCTTCCTTCTTTCCTTCCTCCCTCCCTTCCTTCCTTCCTTCCTTCCTTCCTTCCTTCCTTCCTTCCTTCCTTCTCTCTCTCCTTCCTTAACTCCCTTCTTTCCTTCCATCCAGAATTATTTTTGAGAAATGCTGTGATGTGTCAGTTGGTAGCACATTCTCTGGAGCTGGTTGCTTGGATTAAAATCATAACCCTTCCTCCTATTAGCTATGTGACCTTGAACAAGCTACTAGGCTATAAATTAGGACTAATAATGGCATCAATGTGATCCTGCTATAGATTGAATTGTATGAGTTAATGTATGTGAAGCATTTTTATATGGTAAGAATTGGATAAAATACAGTTACTATTTTATTTATTGAACACTTAGCATTTTTTAGCTTTTTATTTTGAAAAGATCATAGATCCATAGGGAGTTTCAAATACAGAGAGGTCTCGTGTACTATTCTACACAGTTTATTTCAAGAGTTACATCTCGTATAATTTAGTACAATATCAAGACCAGGCATTGACATTTATACAATGTGAATTCATAGGTCTATGCCTATTTTATCACGTGTTGATTAATGTGACCATTATTACAATTAAGTTACAGAACTCTTCCATCACTAAAAGTGTCTTCCTCACATTTTATAGCCATATTCATCTCACATTCCCATACCATCACTAACCTCTGGAAATCACTAATCTGTTTTCTATATGTATGTTATTTTATTAAAGTTATATACATGAAATAATATGCCATGTGTCCTTTTGATATTTGCTTTTTTTCACTAAGCATAATGCCCTTCAGATCAATGCAAGTTATTGCATGTGTCAAAAGTATATACTTTTTAATTTCTGGGTAGTATTTAATCATATAGATATACCACAGTTTATTCAACCATTCACCTCTCCAACATCTTGGATGTTTCCAGTTTTTCTCTGTTAGAATTAAAGGTGCTATGAAAGATATTAAAGATCGCATATAGGTTTTCATTTCTCTTAGATAAATTTCCAGGTGTGCAATTGCTGGATCTTATTATAAATATATGTTTAGTTTTTAAAGAAACTGATAAATTATTTCCAGAGTATTATAACATTTTACAATTCAAATAATGTATGAATGATACAGTTTCTTCATCATTGCCAGCTTTTGTTGTCACTATTTTTATGTTTAGTTGTTTTAATAGGTGTGTAGTTACCTAGTATTTTGATAAGAGCTGAGGATACAAATTTGAGTTGATCAAGAAATCAAACAAATAGAAAACAATCATTAAAGATTACAATAAAAATAAACAAAGTGAGGAGACTGCTAGTAACCAGGGAAGGAACTTTAATTAAGGTATTTCAGAAAACTTCTTAGCCGAGATTTCAAAGAACAATGATCTAATTTTACAAAAAGCCACAGAAAGCTTATTTTAGAAAGAAAGAGAAACAAGCACAAAATTCTAGAGGCAGAAAAAGGGTTGGCATACACAAAGACTGTGGAAATAATTAAGAATGTTTTGGGTGTGATAAGAAAAGAAGGGAAGTGTATGACATGTGGTTGGAGAGGTAGGTAGAAAACATCAAGCCAGGATCTATGGTCATTAAAAAGAAGTTGGAAATTTTTCTTTATATTAGCAGAGGAAAGCCAAACAAGGAGTTAAAGCAGAAAGTAGGGAATGAAGAGTCAAGATCTTGTGTGCTTTAAAAAAAAAAAAGCCACTCAGACTACTGTGAAAATAGAGCATTTAGGGAGGAGATGACAAGTGGGGAGGCAGATTTGCAATGCATTGTGGTATTCTGACAGAGAGATGGGTGTGGCTTTGAGAAGTGTTCAAGGAAGAATTGGAAATCTTGGAAATGGAGAGTCATGGGGAAAAAAAGAACCTAGGTCGACCTCTAGGTTTTGGGCATGAGTCATACAGGCACAGTGTAGTACCATTTATTGAGATGAGAAAAGCTGTTGAAGGAATTTTGTTTTGCTTTGTTTCAGTGTGAACACGTGCAGCAGTCAGCTTGATTTCAGACATACTAAATTTGAGTTTTCTGTTAGATATGCAGGAGATTTCAAATAGGAGATTGGATATATTGGCTAAAATATTGCATCTGCAAGTCTCTTTTTTCAACTGATCTTAGATGGACGGATAAATAAGATAAACCAGTTGAAGTCCAGTGGAAAAATATTCCATTAAAATAAGACTTATTTGGGCTTCTATTATGATATTTTGCCCTTTCTTATCTCTGTGACTAGAGTGAATAATAATAATCAGAGATGCAGTTTTCTCACCTGTGCAATGGTAATATCTATTAGACATGCATAGTGTGGAAAATTAGGTAAATTCATTCATACAAAGTAACTCTGACATTGAAGGTTCTAAAATTAACAACATTTGGAATTTTAATCTTCCATCTAGTTTTACCATTTGGAGTATATAAGGAAACCTAGAAAGAAACCTTATATCCACTTGTCTATCCTATAAAGTTTGCACATTATAGGGTATAATCTCAGGGCATAAATACAACTTTTTATAATTCCTATAGAGGGATACTCATAGGCCAATATTACTGATCTTGAAAAGTGGGGTATTGAGGTATTTTACTTGGTTGTAAGCCATCAACGTGTTTTACAAATGTGATATTATGTTTTGATATTAGTAAAAAAAAAGAAGCTTCAAAATATCCTCTCTTTCTTTGAATGCAATCACAATCATTTCCTTTTTGAATTTTAAATATAAGTAACCTAAAACTTAATAACTTGCTCACAAGTCTAGAAGCAGACAAAATATCACCCACAAACCTGATTTATAATACTACGTTAAACTTAAACTGACTTAAGGTTTTAGACATTCATAAACATCTTTTAATCTATTCCCCTTTTGCATGGATATGTAAATATATACTCCAGGAGATATAATTTTTGTAGTTATTGTAGTGCTTTTGTAATGAAGAACTAAGTCTATTTTCACAGTGATAGAGAATTCAGTTGAGTTCTTTTGACCCTGTATGGATTTGTCTAGTTTTTAAGGTACTACTTAAAAATGTATAGAAGACAAGGCTACAGTAACCAAAACAGCATGGTACTGGTACCAAAACAGAGATATAGATCAATGGAACAGAACAGAGCCCTCAGAAATAACGCCGCATATCTACAACTATCTGATCTTTGACAAACCTGAGAAAAACAAGCAATGGGGAAAGGATTCCCTATTTAATAAATGGTGCTGGGAAAACTGGCTAGCCGTATGTAGAAAGCTGAAACTGGATCCCTTCCTTACACCTTATACAAAAATCAATTCAAGATGGATTAAAGATTTAAATGTTAGACCTAAAACCATAAAAACCCTAGAAGAAAACCTAGGCATTACCGTTCAGGACATAGGCATGGGCACGGACTTCATGTCCAAAACACCAAAAGCAATGGCAACAAAAGACAAAATTGACAAATGGGATCTAATTAAACTAAAGAGCTTCTGCACAGCAAAAGAAACTACCATCAGAGTGAACAGGCAACCTACAAAATGGGAGAAAATTTTTGCAACCTACTCATCTGACAAATGGCTAATATCCAGAATCTACAATGAACTCAAACAAATTTACAAGAAAAAAACAAACAACCCCATCAAAAAGTGGGCGAAGGACATGAACAGACACTTCTCAAAAGAAGACATTTATGCAGCCAAAAAACACATGAAAAAATGCTCATCATCACTGGCCATCAGAGAAATGCAAATCAAAACCACAATGAGATACCATATCACACCAGTTAGAATGGCAATCATTAAAAAGTCAGGAAACAACAGGTGCTGGAGAGGATGTGGAGAAATAGGAACACTTTTACACTGTTGGTGGGACTGTAAACTAGTTCAACCATGGTGGAAGTCAGTGTGGCGATTCCTCAGGGATCTAGAACTAGAAATACCATTTGACCCAGCCATCCCATTACTGCGTATATACCCAAATGACTATAAATCATGCTGCTATAAAGACACATGCACACATATGTTTATTGCGGCATTATTCACAATAGCAAAGACTTGGAACCAACCCAAGTGTCCAACAATGATAGACTGGATTAAGAAAATGTGGCACATATACACCATGGAATACTATGCAGCCATAAAAAATGATGAGTTCATGTCCTTTGTAGGGACATGGATGAAATTGGAAATCACCATTCTCAGTAAACTATCGCAAGAACAAATAACCAAACACCACATATTCTCACTCATAGGTGGGAACTGAACAATGAGATCACATGGACACAGGAAGGGGAATATCACACTCTGGGGACTGTGGTGGGGTGGGGGGAGGGGGGAGGGATAGCAATGGGAGATATACCTAATGCTAGATGACGAGTTAGTGGGTGCAGCGCACCAGCATGGCACATGTATACATATGTAACTAACCTGCACAATGTGCACATGTACCCTAAAACTTAAAGTATAATAAAAGAAAAATGTAAATAAATACCATGTTGAGAAAAAAAAATGTATAGGAGAAAATAAAAATAAATTATCTCTTTCATAAGTTAAAAATATTTTACATTTCAGCATTCTGAAAGCACAGAGGATTCAACAAAATGATGGTTTAGAATCAAATTCAATAAAGAAACATCAGCTTGAGATCAGACTCTCAGGAATGTTTTTTTTTTTTCCTGATGAATCTGAGCCATTCAAGGTCCTTATAAATACGTGAGAGCACCTTTGATTTTTGACTTTTTATAGTTAACAATTTCAGTTTGCTAATACAAAAGACCTCATGCCTTTTCATCCAGAAAACAGAGAACACTTTCTATTATGTAAGAGTATTATGTTTGAAGGAATATGTTTGCTTCAACTATGCGTGCTATGGTACAGAAAGCAAAACCACCTCCCTGTAGGTCTAAATCCAAGGGGTTTTCAATGTATTTGGGTTAAGTCATGTTGTAAGGTTATAGCTCTCTAAGATTTTTACAAGATGCATTATTAAACACGAATCTTCTGTAACGTGTACAGCATATCTTGTATAAATCAATGCAATATTTTCTTCTAAGTATGTGATGGTTTTGGTCACCCATGCTTAAAAAAAACTTTGAAGAGACAATTCATCTTTTTCCTATGAAACAATTTTTGTTAATTGACATAATTCTTCAGCAGTCAAGCTATTACTGTCATTAGGTAGTCCTTTCCTTTATTCAGAAGCCCAAGAAGTTAGTAGAGGTTTGTATACTATGCACCTTTCACCAGAAAATAAAAAGGGAGAACTTTAAGTATTTGACATCATCAAAAATTAGGTGTTATGGTGCTATGCTTAAGTTTTGATATTATATATTAATTACATTTCCCTTAGTACTACCTCCTCTGAATTCTTGAGCTTGTCAGTAGTTGAAAACATTTGAACCTAAACCATTTTTGCACATTCACAACTAAATGTCTGGGTAACTTGGGAATTAATACTCTACAACCTGTGATGGAGCAGGGAGCAGGGTCAGCTGTCCATTAGCATCTCTTGTGAGGTTTCTCCATTTTCATAAAGAAGCTTGAGAAAATCTCCAGATTTGCCTGAGGGTAGACACAAAGCAATGCTCAGTTATACTCAATGTTATCAACCTACTGGACTTGGTATAAAAGACTTTTTGAGCACTGTATTGCTTATTAAAAAACAGTAAAGTGTAAAAGATAGTTCTTTAGACAAATTGGCCCATGGAAATGCCAAATCATTAGTTTTGGTGTCCGTAATGCCTCACAAAGTTATAAACTTTTATGAATAATTTGCTAAGAAATTAGCTCTAATGACAGGTAGTTTATGTATATACCTTGATAACATCTACAGGTATCTTATGCACATGACATTATAGAAATATTTGTTTGGGTTTTTCTCAACCAGTCATTTTCTACACCATAATTCCAGCTCAGCCCACTCCACTTGCAATTGCTTGCTCTCATCTTCTAACTCCTGTTTATTCTTCTCAATTTCTGCTGCAATGGCTTCAATTAACCTGCTCCTCTGTATCTTGTATGCTTTTTAGTTCACTGCTTATTTCCTTCTTCCTGCTGGAAAACTTGGCTAAATAACTCGTATTACTATTTTAGCCTCATTTGTCTTTAAGATTATCTCATAAGGATATCCTATATAAATGGTAGTTAATATTTCTGAGCACCAACTTCCCTTACTCCAGCTCTCAGACTTCTTCCCATTGTTATGACAATTGAAGGCTTTTTAAATTCCTGTCTTAGGAGAAGTGGCCCAAAATTTGCCATAGATCTATGATGTTTTAATTAATACTGACCTCTGAATGATCTAGAAAATAATGGTAAACCATGTATACATATTTGTGTGTGCACATGTGTGCATGTATCCATAGCATCTGTGTGTGTGTACATTTTATAGATTTTGTCTTTATGTGAAGAAATATACTGAGTATCCAAATAAGCATAATTTCTATACAAGTGAGGTATGTGGGTTAAAATCTAGCGAACAAAATATAACTATACATTCATGATTTGGAAACCTTTTAACATGATTCTTGAGGAATTACTCAATTGTTAATTGTTTCTACCTTCTCTACCAAAATGACTAATATTTGGACTGAAAAGAAAAAAAAGAAAACCTCAGTAAGGAAAAGTGGAATTTCTGTAGGTGGTAACTCTGGAATATCCCACCAAGAGAATGAATCAGATTAAAATAATGACTGTAGAAATTTCCTTGTTAGTGAATATTCAGCCTGGCCTTAAGGAAAATGTAGCTCTCTCTTACTGCTTTGTATCTTATTTCTTTTACTATGTCAATTCTCACCTTAGTAGAACTACTACTAGTTCTAGTACCATGGCTATCATAGATGCAACCATTATATTCCATTTAGTTTCTTCCTCAGGTTCCCTAACAATTGTTTGAAACTGAATATATATGTTTATGTATGTGTGTGTGTTCACTTTCATGTATATGGTGTATATGGGATGTGTGCAGTTTTCAGTTTTATATATATTCATATATATACATGCATATATATGTATAATATACATATATACATGCATACACATGTATAATATACATATATACACATATATGCACACACATAATCACTGAGTTCCAAAGTGAGTCTTTATTTGGGGCAATTGCATTCTCTCCCCTCTGTCTGCTCACTGGCCTTTGCAAGACATAGCAATTGCTTGATTTTCCTTTAGATAAGAGTCTTATCTTCAGCACTCTTGACTCTAGCCTTAAATTTGGATTTCTATTCCAGAATACCTCTCATATCAATCTTAAAACCTAAGATGGGTAAAGAGGTCATAAGATTTTTAGTATGAAAGAGTTTGCTTAGTTAAATTATATCCCAGGAAACTCATTCATCTACAAGTTAAATTGTAAAATATTGTTTGTTGTATCTGAAAAAATCTTTAGAACAAGAAATGTAACTGGGTAGCCTGTTATATCAAAGAACCCTCGATTTATTAAGTCTCCTCATAGCCATATCGTTATATAGCCCTCTCTGACACTGACTTAATAGACACTTGACAAATGATAGTAAATTTAGGCTTGGCAAATTAAAATGGCACCAATGCCAAATGAGAACCTGATCTACTCTACTAGAGAGACTAAGTGGAGGAGAACCCAGCTGATAGCACCAGTGAACTGCCAGATATTTGAGTGATGTCACTTTGGACTATGTAGGCCTTGTCAGTCATATAAGGAAACCTAGGCAAGACTCCGAATATTATCCTCCTGAGCTCAACCAAAGTTAACAAATTGTGAGTTTGTGTTTTAACCAACTAAGTTTGATGACTGCTATACACAGCAATGGATAATTGAAATAACAACTAAAAATTAAAGATGAGATAATGTATTGTGTTTAAAAATTTAGCAAGTGAGTACTTCATGAATATATTTACCTTGATGGCATTACAAGCTAAGTTTTGCTGGGCTTTATTAGAATAAATTATTTGAGCATTGATGAGAAAGTGAACTTTCAAACTATCTTATTTACGTTTATGTTTCAGTTATCCCACAAAAGCAGGAAATTACTTTCAACAATGCACCTGAGGTATTTTATAGTATCTCTCTGGTTATTTCCATGTATCAGGTGGAGAAATATGGATCAGACACAAAGACAATAAGGTTAATTGCTCTCTAGCTGAATATTTTTTCTTAAATGGGTTTATTAGTAAATTGATAACTTGATTTGATGTTTACTCTGACGTGTGATGTAAAGTTCTTCCTAAAGCCCCCTTTCTTTTCCTTTTTAAATATATTAACATAGATGAATACAGAGAATGTGAACATATTAGATATATAGATATCACAACAGGAGAACAGTAAATGTTGGGTTTTAGACTATTTCAACCCTAAAATATGGACACAGGTTGGAATGAGGATCCAATTCAGCATAATAGCCTCTAATGGAGTGGGGAACATATAAAATCCTGTGTTGTTTTATGAAATGTTGCTTATTTGCTGCATGTTTTTAAAAAGTATCAGTTTTATTTAATAGTGGGATCTTTATGTCAGTGATTACTGATGTTTCCAGCAAGCTAATTCGTACCAGGGAGAGAATGTAAACATTTAGAAAGGGGATTATATTTCTCTATTATCTGCATATGTCAGATGACAACGAGAGTTTCAAAGTACAATCTTATGAAGGATTGTATTGCAGATTTGGCCTAGAAGCACAAAACCGTTAAATTTTTATCAAAATTATACCTGAAAATTCTTCATGTTGTTTATTAGCAGTCATTATCTTTACAAAGATATAGGAAATAAAGTGATTTCCATCTGCTGCGATCACTTGCCTTTTACAATAGACAAAATTGTTATTTTCATTAGGTTTTACAAAAGGAATGATATATAAATTTTTAAAAGGCATGTTTAGGTTCTTTCACCAGAGAAATTTAGATTATTCTTGCATAAAATCAATAAACATAATTCAGCACATAAACAGATCCAAAGACAAAAACCACATGATTATCTCAATAGATGAAGAAAAGGCCTTTGACAAAATTCAACAACGCTTCATGCTAAAAACTCTCAATAAATTAGGTGTCGATGGGACATATCTCAAAATAATAAGAGCCATCTATGACAAACCCACAGCCAATATCATACTGAATGGACAAAAACTGGAAGCATTCCCTTTGAAAACTGGCACAAGACAGGGATGCCCTCTCTCACCACTCATATTCAACGTAGTGTTGGAAGTCCTGGCCAGGGCAATCAGGCAGGAGAACGAAATAAAGGGCATTCAATTAGGAAAAGAGGAAGCCAAATTGTCCCTGTTTGCAGATGACATGATTGTATATCTAGAAAAACCCATTATCTCAGCCTAAAATCTCCTTAAGCTGATAAGCAACTTCAGCAAAGTCTCAGGATAAAAAATCAATGTGCAAAAATCACAACCATTCTTATACATCAATAACAGACAGAGAGCCAAATCATGAGGGAACTCCCATTCACAATTGCTTTAAAGAGAATAAAATACCTAGGAATCCAACTTACAAGGGATGTGAAGGACCTCTTCAAGGAGAACTACAAACCATTGCTCAATGAAATAAAAGAGGATACAAACAAATGGAAGAACATTCCATGCTCATGGGTAGGAAGAATCAATATCATGAAAACGGCCATACTGCCCAAGGTAATTGATAGATTCAATTCCATCCCCATCAAGCTATCAATGACTTTCTTCACAGAATTGGAAAAAAACTACTTTAAAGTTCATATGGAACCAAAAAAGAGCCCACATTTCCAAGTCAATCCTAAGCCAAAAGAACAAAGCTGGAGGCATCACACTACCTGACTTCAAACCATACTACAAGGCTACAGTAACCAAAACAGCATGGTACTGGTACCAAAACAGAGATATAGACCAAAGGAACAGAACAGAGCCCTCAGAAATAATGCCGCATATCTACAACTATCTCATCTTTGACAAACCTGACAAAAAGAAGAAATGGGGAAAGGATTCCCTATTTAATAAATGGTGCTGGGAAAACTGGCTAGCCATATGTAGAAAGCTGAAACTGGATCCCTTCCTTACACCTTATACAAAAATTAATTCAAAATGGATTCCAGACTTATATGTTAGACCTAAAGCCATAAAAACCCTAGAAGAAAACCTAGGCAATACCATTCAGGACATAGGCGTGGGCAAGGACTTCATGTCTAAAACACCAAAAGCAATGGCAACAAAAGACAAAATTGACAAATGGGATCTAATTAAACTAAAGAGCTTCTGCACAGCAAAAGAAACTACCATCAGAGTGAACAGGCAACCTACAAAATGGGAGAAAATTTTTGCAACCTACTCATCTGACAAAGGGCTAATATCCAGAATCTACAATGAACTCAAACAAATTTACAAGAAAAAAACAAACAACCCCATCAAAAAGTGGGCGAAGGATATGAACAGACACTTCTCAAAAGAAGACATTTATGCAGCCAAAAAACATGAAAAAATGCTCATCATCACTGGCCATCAGAGAAATGCAAATCAAAACCACAATGAGATACCATCTCACACCAGTTAGAATGGCAATCATTAAAAAGTCAGGAAACAACAGGTGCTGGAGAGGATGTGGAGAAATAGGAACACTTTTACAGTGTTGGTGGGACTGTAAACTAGTTCAACCATTGTGGAAGTCAGTGTGGCAATTCCTCAGGGATCTAGAGCTAGAAATACCTTTTGACCCAGCTATCCCATTACTGCGTATATACCCAAAGGATTATAAATCATGCTGCTATAAAGACACATGCACATGTATGTTTATTGTGGCACTATTCACAATAGCAAAGACTTGGAACCAATCCAAATGTCCAACAATGATAGAGTGGATTAAGAAAATATGGCACATATACACCATGGAATACTATGCAGTCATAAAAAATGATGAGTTCATGTCCTTTGTAAGGACATGGATGAAGCTGGAAACCATCATTCTTAGCAAACTATCACAAGGACAAAAAACCAAACACTGCATGTTCTCACTCATAGGTGGGAATTGAACAATAACACATGGACACAGGAAGGGGAACATCACACACCAGGGACGGTTGTGGGGTGGGGGGAGTGGGGAGGGATAGCATTAGGAGATATACCTAATGTTAAATGACGAGTTAATGGGTGCAGCACACCAACATGGCACATGTATACATATGTAACAAACCTGCACGTTGTGCACATGTACCCTAAAACTTAAAGTATAATAGTAATAAAATAAAATAAAACAAAAGAACTAGTTTGTTGAGTTCATTTAGGAACTAAGTTGTAAGAAATATTGCACCAGACAATTTATTTTCTGAGATGAAACTCAAGTAACTATGAGCACAGTATCAGGAATGACATTCATTTGTTCCCAGCTGTCTCTAGGCATTTTGCACTCTTGAAAAATACTAAGTTCCCTGGACCTGAAGAGATTCATGAATCAGTAAGAATGTGAGCCCCTTGAGTGTTCAATATACCTTCAAACCTTAGAAACTGTAAGTCAATGATGGTGATTATCATATCACAAGAGTATAGTTAGCTTCTATTAAAAGACATAAAAGACCCCTCTGAGTTAGCCCTAGACACATATTACTCCAACTGCCTGAAGAAATGTTTACCGATCCATACAGAATTACTCTCAATTAGATTTAGAGAAAACATTCTCTCTTTGAAGAACACTAGAATTGAGGAAAATATGGTAGAGCATATAGGTTATTTTGCCTTTGTTACTTTGTAGACCTTAAATCATGGAGTGTGTTAGAACACAGTATATTTGTGACAACCATGACAGTTCAGAGAAATGCAGTGAGGTCATTTACTCTGAAACTGAAAGACACTAATCTCTGCTCTGAGACCCACAAAATCAGATTATCTGTTTTACCTGCGTGATTTCTATTCCTCTCATTTTGTTGTTCTTTTTATAAAACATCTTTGTTAAATAATAAAGTTATTACTCTAAGGTAGTGTCCAAGTCTCTTTGATAATAATGAAATGTCCATGGCCAAATCCCATTGCTTTGTTTTGACACTGTGCTCCAAGAAAATTACTTTGATATACCCTCTCATATTAGAATAAATACATTATACATACCTATTGCCTACATCAAGTTTTGAATTGTACCACTTTCAGGTTTAACCTGGCCATAGAGCAGATTTTCTTAATGGTTGGTGAACACAGAATAATAGTTTAATCGTTCAGATAAACTATTTTGCAGAAACATTTAAAATCAGAAATTGCAGAACTACTATCTGAACTTAACCATATTTTGTTTTATTTAGTACTCATGCTGACAAGTTGATTTACCACCTCGTTTTCCCAACAAGTGTTAAGATTTCAATATGCAGTTAATGGTTTCTAAAAACAGTGACTATTTAATTACATCCTTATAGTTTCCCCAAATTGCTTATAGTTTGCCCTCATTTTGTTAGGTCTATAATATTTCTCAATTAGTGAAAAAATTTCTACTCCTTTTTAATTATTGATGCATATAATGATGTATAAAAATTATGTAGATAGCCCCTCCATGAAAACTTAAAATCAAGAGCTTTTAGCATTAAAGTATCAGAATACAAACTAAAGAAAACACACCAATTCAGAAAGATTTTCTTTAAATATATTAAAGTGAATAAAATGTTCACAGAGAATCACTCACATCTAAGGATATAGACTTTTTCCTAAAGTGAAACTATTTTTGGTTCACTCAGACTCTGGGTAGTGTTTCACTGATTTTGAATTTCACTGGTCAGAACCAGTGTTGGTAGTAAGAATTATTATCCCAGAAGAGAATGGAAATGCTTGCCAACTCTACTTTCAACCCTTGTTGGAATCTCTATGTTGTGGGTAGAGATATGACTAAATTAAGCAGTTTTAAGTCTAAGCCAGAAAGATTTAATTATTGATTTATTGGTTTTACAATTGTTAAATATTGCCTTTAACCAAGTATATGTTTTATCATGTAATAATCACTTTGGCAGCCTCAAATGTCATGGGTTCACAGGGTAAATGTTAAGGTAATAGCTAAACAATTGAGCGTATAGGAGATCTATAGTAAGTGAAAAAAATTCGAGATGTAATATAGAGTCCAGTATGACAGACTTGAGAAACTTCCAAAAACTAGGAAAAGAAAACCAAAAGTCATTCTTGCAGTGTCTCTGATTGCACTGACTTGATGCAGAATTGGTGCATTAACATATGTATACATTACATATGTATACATGTGCCATGCTGGTGTGCTGAACCCATTAACTCGACATTTAGCCTTAGGCATATCTCCTAATGCTATCCCTCACCCCTCTCCCCACCCACAACAGCCCCCAGAGTGTGATGTTCCCCTTCCTGTGTCCATGTGTTCTCATTGTTCAATTCCCAGCTATGAGTGAGAACATGCGGTGTTTCGTTTTTTGTCCTTGCGATAGTTGACTGAGAATGATGAATTAAAATAAAAATGCATGCACTTTCAAATGTACTTAGTGCAACATATTGAACTTACATTCCAGTTTTCCTGGAATTACTTGTGTCTTGAGCTAAAGGCTGTATTTGGTATAACAGGGAAGGAAAGAAATTATTTTTCCTATAAAATTAGTTTAAAAACACATATAATTAAACAAAATAAAAATATTATCCCATCTTTTAAAGAACATTTACTAAGTCACAGATATTACCCGAAGTTTAGAATATCACCTAAGAACAATTGTTTAAAAATTATTTAGGGAAAATGAAGCAAAATTGTTTTTACAATCTGAGATTTTAACAGCTGTTCTTTTAACTCCTGTTCTTCAGCTGAATGTCCCCTTCATTCTGAATGTCTGCAGTAGAGTTGAATTGGGGGGCAGTTAGGTTCCAGGAACATATTCACTCCTGTTTTGTTCCCTTCCCAATCTCAGCCTTTCGGTGACTGTTTGGGCAAAGCCTCCCTTGTGGTAGAAGATGCCTCACTTCTGGGGAGAGGAGACTCCTCATCTTGCAGACAAGAGGCAGCACCCACTGGTTCCTGCTCCAAAAGCCATTAACATTATAAACTGGCCAGGTGCGGTGGCTCAAACCTGTAATCCCAGCACCACTTGGGAGGTTGAGGCAGAAGGATTGCTTGAGCCCAGGATTTTGAGAACAGCCTTGGCAACAAAGTGAGACCCAATCTCTACAAAAAGTAGAGAAAAAAATAGCTGGGTGTGGTGGCACTCACCTGTACTAAGGAGGCTGGGCTGGGAGGATCTCTTGAGCCCAGGTGGTTGAGGCTTCAGTGAACCAAGATCACACCTCTGCACTTGAGCTTGGGTGACAGATTAAGACCCTATCTCAAAAAATAAATTATAAACTGATTCACAATAACTTTGGTTTTGTCACTAATATGCTGAATATTTTTGTTACAACTAATATGCAAAATGCAAACTGGCTATCACTACCATTCTGATAATGGAATTAGCTGTCCTACATACCTGATGACCTAATGCTTAACCTAATCTTCCTCTTTCCCACTTTGATTTGGAAACTTGTTACAAGAGAGTTCTTTACCTCAAAGTCTTAAGGAATTCAAGACAAGACTAGAGTATGTTAAGATACCACAAAAAAAAAAATATATATATATATAGCAAGAGCTTTCTTGAGTAAGCAAATTTTATACATATAAAAATAATTTACATGCAAATGACCAAGAGGAAAGGTTAAGTGACTCTGGTGTAAATAATTAGTTTACTGATTCTGCCAGAGCATATTAACAAAAATTCACTTTGGCAAAATTATATGGATTTAAAGAAGTAACAAGTGGGTTTCTCTAAAGCACAGTTTGGCTTTTTACTAGAATATCAAGTCACCTTTTTGGGTGAGGAGAGTACAATGGGAGTGGGCAGCTGGTGCAAATAAACATTTAAAATTACTTAAAACTTCAACAAATGGGATCCGTATTTAAATGTGTTTTGGTCTGTCTTCCCTTTGTTTTTTCTAATCCATTCCAACAATGCAAACCTCAGCCACTGTCAAGGGCAATCTCAGACTGGAGGTTGCTGCCTAGGGTGAGGTTCTAGCAAGACTGACAAGCAGAGCTCAGGGAAAAGTCTGCATGGGAAAACAGAGCCAGACTTAGAAGGCATTGCTGATGAATTCCATTTTCTTACTACAGAAGAGCTAGCAAAAACTGCAATATGATGTGTAAAGTCAGTGTAATCTTATGGACATTATACCAAGTCACAACATGAGGCATGAAATACCTCAGATGTTGTTCCCTCTAAATCTCATGTTGAATTGTGATACCCCCAATGTTGGTGGTAGGTCTGGAAGGAGGTGATTGGATCATGGGGGTGGATTTCTCAGAAATGGTCTAGCATCCTGTCCCTGGTGCTGTCCTTGTGAGAGTGAGTGAATTCTTGCAAGATCTATTTGTTTAAAAGTGTGTGGTGCTTCCCCTGCCTTGCCAGGTGATGTGCCTGCCTGCTCCTTCTTCATCTTCTGCCATGAATAAAGCCTCCTGAGGCCTCACCAGAAGCTAGGCAGATGCCAGAATCATGTTTGTACAGCCTGCAGCTATACAAACCTCTTTTCAAAGCTCTTTTCTTTATAAATTACCCAGTCTCAGGTATTTCTTCACAGCAATGTAAGAATGGCCTAATACAGCAAATTGGTACTGAGACATGGGGCATTGCTATAAAGATACTTGAAAGTGTGGAAGTGACTTTGGAACTAGGTAATGGGCAGGAGTTGGAAGAGTTTGGACTGCTCCTAATACAGGAAGATGAAGGAAAGTTCTGAATTTCTTAGAGACTAGTTAAATGGTTGTGACCAAAATGCTGATAGTGATATGGACAGTGAAGGATAGGCTGATGCGGTCTCAGATGAAAATGAGGAACTTACTGAGACTTGGAATAAAGGTCATGCCTGTTATGCCTTTGCAAAGAACTTGGCTGCAGTCTGTTCATGTACTAGGGATCTGAGGAAGTTTGAACACTCAGACACAGGAGCAAAAAAATGACTTAAAGTTGGAATTTACAATTAAATGGGAAGCAGACCATACAAGTATAGAAAATTTGCAGCCTGCCCATTTGGCAAAGGAAGATAAAGCATTTTCAGGGGAAGAATCTAACAGGCTGTGGAGCAACCACTTATTAGAGACATTTACATAACTGAAAAAGAGCTAGGTGCTGATAGCCAAGAAAATTAAAAAAAGGCCTTGAAGGCATTTCAGAAATCTTTGTAGCAGCTCATCCTAGCACAGACCTAGAGGTCTAGGATGAAAGAATGGTTTCTTGTGTAGTGGGATTTTAAAAATTAATTAATTAATTAATTTATTTATTTATTTATTTATTTTGAGATGGAGTCTCACTCTGTCACCCAGGCTGGAGTGCAGTGGCACAATCTCAGCTCACTGCAAGCTCTGCCTTCCGGGACATGCCATTCTCCTGTCTCAGCCTCCCAAGTAGTTGGGACTACAGGTGACTGCCACCATGCCTGGCTAATTTTTTGTATTTTTAGTAGAGACGGGTTTTCACTGTCTCAGCCATGATAGTCTCAATCTCCTGACCTCGTGATCTGCCTGCCTCAGCCTCCCAAAGTGCTGGGATTACAGGCATGAGCCACCATGCCCAGGCTGTAGTGGGATTTTTTAAGGAATCAGAGAGACTGATGGGGTTGAGGAGGATATTTATTATTTAGGTGCACTGGCCCAGTCAGATTAACATCCAAAGGACTGAGTCCTGAACAAAGACTTAAGTTAACTTTTAAGCATTTTGTGGGGTGGTGGGGAGTGGGGAGATCTGTGCAGGGGGAAGCATATTACAGAAGCGAGAAACAAAGACAGTTATTCAATTAATTGAGACATGCATTATATCATTTCTTACTTTTCAAGGAAAAACATGTTTTATGACTTGAGTTTATCTGTCTAGTGACCTTGCAGCTGCACAGCTAGGGAAACAGGGTCTTCACAATGCCTGGGAAAGAAGGAGAGATGAAGCTCACTAGCCACAGAAAAACAGGCAGTTAATTTTTAAAGGGCTCCAGCTCTTTCTCTTTCTCAGGGGGAATTGGGTTTTCTCACATACAACTGAGTTTCTGCTTACACATTCTTTAATTTCTTTTAATTCCTGTTCCACTTGGACCAGGGCCAGGGCATCACTGTCCTGTACCACCCCCAGGAGGGTGTTCCTTGCATCCTGGCCCTTCTAGCTCCAGCCTTGGTTCAAAGGGCTGCAGATAGAGCTCAGGTCATGGCTTCAGTGGGTGCAAACTATAAGCCTTGGTGGCTTCCATGTGGCGTTAAGCCTGCAGGTAAGCAAAGTGCAAGAGTGAAGGAGGCTTGGCATTCTCTGCCTAAATTTCAGAGGATGTATGAGAAAGGCTGGATGCCCAGGGAGAAGACTATGCACGGCTGGAGCTCTCAAAGAGGACCTCTTCTAGGACAGTGCCAAGTGGAAATGTGGGGTTGGAGGCCCCACTCAGGGTCCTGACTGGGGGGGCGGCCTAGTGGAGCTGTGGGAGGGGGGCTGCTGCCCTCCAGATCCCAGAATGATAGAGCCACCAGCAGCTCATGCCTTCAGTGTAGAAGAGCTGTGGGAGCAGAGCAGCCCAAGGCCTTGGGAGCCCACCCTATGCATCGTGGGAACGCTCTATGTTCCCAGGATGTGGGACATGGTTTCAAAGGAGATTATTTTGGAACATCGAGTTTTAATGACTGCCCTGCTGGGATTTGAACTTGTGTGGGGCCTGTAGCCCCTTTCTTTTGGCCAATTTCTCCTTTTGTAATGGGAATGTTTACCCAATGCCTGTACCCCAATTTTATCTTAGAAGTAAATAACTTGTTTTGATTTTACAGGCTCATCAGTGGAAGGGACTTGCCTTGTCTCAGAAGAAACTGCACTTTCGAGTGATGCCGAAACAGGTTGAGACTTTTGGGGGACTATTGAGAAGGGATGATTGTATTTTGCAATGTGAGAAGAACATGAGATTTGAAGGGCCAGGGATGGAATGAAATAGTTTGGATGTTGTACCCTTTAAGTCTCATGTCGAATTGTAATTTCCAGTGTTGGAGTCGGGGTCTGGTGGGAGGTGATGGGGTCATGAAGGCTGATTTCTCATGTTTAACACCATCCTCTTGGCACTGTCCTTGCAAGAGTGAGTGAGTTCTCATTACATCTGGCTGTTAAAAGTGTGTGACACCTCTCCCTGCTTGCTGCTGCTCTGGCCATGTGACATACCTTCTTTTGCTTCACCTTCTGCCATGTGTAAAAGCTCCCTGAGGACCCTTCTTGAAGTCAAGCAACTGCCAATGCAAAGCTTCCTGTACAGCCTGCAGAACTGTGAGCCAAGTCAATCTTTTTTTTCAGTATAAATTATGTAGTGCTTAGGTATTCCTTTATAGTAACGCAAGAATGCCATAATACAAGGCATAATGGTTTGCATTTTAAAAATGAAAATTAAATTTTTGTAATTTATCATGAAAAGATGAAATGTGTTAATAATGAGCAATATCTACATGTTGTCTTAGAGGTGCTGACAATCTGTCAAGGAATTACATGCATTGATCAAGCAGTTTACCTTCAAGTTGAATAACAAGATATTCCTATCTAACATAACAAAATTTTGACATTATTTGGGAGACTGGAAATAATGCTAAATAATATCAGATTGTCAAAGTCAAATAAATATAGAGACAAACATCTGAAATTAAAATGTTTTATTTGAGATACAAGTATTACAATTTCACACATACATGCAGAATGGGTGTCTTTAGTATGTCCAAAACATAAAGAGAAAGTTAGAGGTTTTATAAAAAAGGGAGACAGAGAGAAAAACGGTATGTATTTCTCTTTGAGAAAGTTCACTGGCACCAGTAAGGTTTTTGAGAGCTGGCAGGCTCTGATAGGTGAGGGACAGTGGTGGGTAAAGCTAGTCTTAGTGTTCAAGAGGTTGTTTCAGTAACCATTTGATAAAACTGGTTTCAGCTTAAAGCAGGTAATTTCAGCAGCCAGGCATGCAGAGAATTATGCTTTTGGAGTGGTGTTTTTGCCCTGAATGCCTCCTCCCCCTGGCTTGTTGATGGTTTTATTTGGTGTGATAAGAATGACCCAATTCATATGATCAATTTTTACATTTAACCCTTTCCATCAAGATCTTTCTCTTAAAGCATCAACCATGTTTATAGTTGTACAAAGACTACAAGTTAGGTTTAATCATCCCTTAGTGCTAGGATGGACCTGTCCCAGTTGCTCCGTCCCACATCTGGGAAAGGTATGGAGGTCTACATCAGGTCTATGTCAAGATTTATGGCTTCAAATGTCTATCCAAGGAAAAAATAAAACTGACCAGTAATCCCAGGAGAGAAACATACCTTGGCAAATTCGAAGATATTTCTAATTTTATTTAACAATTTTAAAATTAATTAATGTATCAAAGATTCACCTAACTCATGTCAAATAAAATATGTTTGCACTAATTAATATATATTTTATGTGAACATTCCTTTATTTAAACCATCCTTTTTTCCTAGAATGATGGATTAGGGGCTTTCAGTGTGCCTCAGCCACTTGGAAGTAGAAAAATAAGCATAAAGATAAACTTTGTGAGCTTCAATTCAAGAAGAAAAATAGGAATTCACAGGAATACAGAAAAACACTCCAGACCCTGTGGAGGGGGAGGTGGGAAAGCAGACTCTGTGATAGCATTTGGTTCATAAAAGGGAGTGAAACTCCAGTACAAGAGAAGAGCAGCCAGTCTCCCTCTGCAACTCACATTTTCACTGGGGATCTGTGCAATCCAGATTAAGGGAGAGCACTCTGTTTCTCCCAAGCCTTGGAGCTAGCACAAAAGTGGCTGAGAGATGGGGAAAGAGGAAAGACACTCAGAAAAGCTGCAGGCATTTCCCCAGACCTGGGACTGAGAGAAGGATGACCTTTTTAATCTGGGCTCATACAAAGTCAATCATTTTTTGGTGCCTGGCAATGGTGGCCACTGCAGACACTTTAATCTTGGGCTAGGAATTGGAGTGCTTGCTCTGGAGCAGAGGAGCAGCCTCAACAGCCAGAATTGAGTGTTAAGTGTGGAAAGTGCCCCAGCAGTAAGTGTTGGAATTAGGCTCTCTCCTCTTGCAGGACTGTAGTGGGAAGAGAGTTGCTAAAGCAGAGGTTTCTCAAGGATGGTGAGACTTGCAGCCAAGAACAGCTTTGCAACCTGGAACTGGTCTGTGTGTGTCATTGCTGGGTGTCTCAGCCTGCTCCCTTGGTCAGTTGAGAGAGTACTCCATCAGCTCCAAGAAACAAGAGGGAGGTGAACCCCATTCCCCAGGAGACCTAAACTTTGGTGAGGACCAGCCCTAAGGGAAGGAGGAATACAGCTTGCCAAAGCCACCCCTTGGGTCAAAGGAAACATGATCACGATATCAGCTGCTGAAAGGGGCACACCAAAGCCTGGGAACAGATTTAGAGAGGTGGTCATCTCTTGCCCTCTGTCCCCTTCCTAGTGCACTGCTGCAGATCCAGCAGTGGTCATCCTGTTGGGGCCCAAGGAACGTGGGCTGAAAGAGGCTGCTTCTTAGGTTTCTCCAGCAGCTCTGCCCCTGCTGAAGACTAGTACACACTGGGACAGGGTGCTTTTGGCACTTCGTCACTTCTGCACCTGTCGAGGACAAGTACACAGAGGAGAAGACCCTGCAGCCAGCTGTTACTCTTAAGCACCTTCTACTGGACTGAAGCCTGAATTACACCACCAAACAAAAATACATCACCACACCAAGCCACTACAGGAGCCTATCTGCAACCAAGGAACTTGTACAGAGCCTTGGTCCTCTGAAAGTACCCAGAAATGAAGCAAAATGATCCTATACAACATACACCACAGTCATACCCTTAAGAGAAAGAAAGAATGAAAAATTAAAAAAAAAAAACTCTTTCCAAATGATAGCAAATTCAACAAAGGAAGCATCAAGTCTCTCAGATGAGAAGAAACCATCACAAGAACTCTGGCAATACAAAAAGCCAGAATGTTCCATCACCTCCAAAGGATTACACCAGCAATCTAGCAATGAGTCCTAACCAGAATGGAACGTCTGAAATGACAGGTATAGTATTCAAGATATAAGTGGCAAAAAAAAATCACCAAAATCCAACAGAAAGTTGAAATCCAACAACAACCCCATAACAACGATCCTGGATTTGAATGACAACATAGCCATTTTGAGAAAGAACCAAGCAGAGCTTCTTGCATTGAAAAATTTACTATAGGAATTTCAAAAAACAGTTCACAGCCTTAGCAACAGACTAGACCAAATAGAAGAAATAATTTAAGAGCTCAAAGACCAGACCTTTGAATCAACCCAGTCAGACAAAAATAAAAAAAGAATTTAAAAGTAATGAACCAAACTTTTGAGAAATGTAGGATTAGGTAAAGGAACAAAATCTATGACTTATTGGAATTTTCTTTTTTTGAGACAGAATCTCACTCTGTTACCCAGTCTGTAATGCAGTGGCATGATCTTGGCTCACTGAAACCTCCACCTCCTGGGTTCAAGCAATTCTCGTGCCTCAGCCTCCCAAGTATCTGAGATTACAGGCGTGTGCCAGCATGCCTCGCTCATTTTTGTATTTTTAGTAGAGATGGGGTTTCGCCATGCTGGCCAGTTAGGTCTCAAACTTCTGGCCTCAGGTGATCCTCCCACCTTGGCCTCCCAAAGTGCTGGGATTACTGGCATGAGCCACTGTGCCCGGATGACTTATTGGCATTTCTAACAGAGAAGAAGAGAAAGTGAGCAACTTGGGAAATGTTTTTGAGGATATAATTCAGGAAACTGTCCTCAATCTTGCTAAAGAGGTCCACATGCTGATACAAGAAATCCAGAGAACTCCCATGAGACTGAAGGTAGGCAGTGAAGCAAATGCTTGCATTCTTGTGTGGCTCTGATTAGCATCAGGATATCTACATTTTACATAGGAAAGGAGGGAGCAGAGGAAACAGTTATGCGTTCATCTCACATTCAGTAAATCTCCATTTTACATAAGATAAAGTAAGCATGTGAATAGAGGGAGTGGAGTAGAGGAAAACTCAATGATTCATTCATCTCAGGGTAGGCAGAGGGATGATTTCTGGTCCTGACCTTGTCCCAGAACTATGAAAATAAGCTGGTAATTGAGATTGTCAGGGTGAAATTGAGCCGACTCACTTTTAGGGATAGTTTACAGGTGGGATGTGCATTCTGAAAGATTTAGGGGTTCACAGCAAATTGTGAGGGAGGACATCTGAGGAGACATGTGGCCTTCTGTCACTGTGGGAACCTGGCTTATGGATGAGGCTATGACACAGGGTTGTGAAGTTATGGCTATGTGTTTGAGAACAAGGAAGGCAGTATTGCGTAACTCAGTTCCCAAGCTTAATTTTCCCTTTGACACAGTGAGCTTGGAGTTGGGGTCTCTATTCTCTTTTCTCTCACAAAATCATATGGGAACATTCCAGAAAATGTGAGGTTCTGTGCTCACTATTAAATAAAAATGACCAAGAGAGCCATGGGTAAGCTCCCTTCTCAGTCATCAGGACTGCAACAGAGAGTTTTCCCCTGTGTGGACAGGGTCCTGAATTCTGCAGGATCCCGTGGGGACACAAGTGTCAGGATAGAGGCACTCATTCAGCCAGGTACAGTGTCTCACGCCTGTAATGTCAGCTACACTGGAGGCTGAGGTCACCTTGAGGCCAGGATTTCAAGACCAGCCTGGGCAACATAGCAAGATCTCATATCTAAGAATAAAATTAGCCGGGTGTGGTGGCATGCACCTGTAATCCTAGTTAATTGGGAGGGAGGCTGAGGTGGGAGGATTGCTTGAGCCTAGGCGTTGGAGGCTACAACGAGCTAGGATTACACCACTGCACTCCAGTCTCGGCAACAGTAAGACTCCATATGTGACAACAACCAACCTATTCTGTGTTTTGAGTGTAAATTACCATAGCCTTTGTAACAGAAATTAGGCAGTAACTCTTATCATTCAAAATGCATAAGAAATTTGGCTAAGCAATTGTACTTCTAGATTATTTATTTATTTATTTATTATTGGGACAGAGTCTCACTCTGTCCCCCAGACTGGAGTGCAGTGACAGGATCTCAGCTCACTGCAACCTCTGCCTCGTGGGTTCAGGCAATTGTCCTACCTCAGCCTCCCGAGTAGCAGGGGCTACAAGTGCGCATCACCATACCCAGCTAATTTTTGTATTTTTTGTAGAAACGGGGATTTGCCATGTTGGCCAGGCTGGTCTTAAAACTTCTGACCTCAGGTGATCCACCCACCTCGACCTCCTAAAGTGCTGGGATTACAGGCACTAGTTCCTAATTTAGAGCCACATTGTTTAATGTCTAAAAGCACTCTTACATATTTATTACTGCATTGTTTGAACTTAAATATCCACAACAGGATAACAGGATAATTAAACAGTTAATTGCACTATGGCACATCCATCTGTTAACAAAATGAAGTCGATCTTTTTGTACTGTGGTGGAAAGATTTTCTGAACATAGTTCAGGTAAAAAAATGACCACTGTTGAATAATGCTTCTGGTATAACACAAAGTGTTTGAAAATGTACACAATACACTGTAATATCCAATGCATACATCAAAGTAAATATATTTTATTCTAGGATAATTATTAAAACATTAAGAAATACTCTTTAATCATATATGTTAAAACTTGTAGAAAATCAATAACATACAAGTAAAGAAGATCAAGAAGTCAAAAAAAGTAATTCCAAGTGTAGAAAGCATGGTGAAAAGTGATGGAAGAAAACTGCAGAAATTTAAAATGTGAAATTAAAATATATAATTATTAATCAAAATACATAATTCTTAATTAAAATACATAATTCTTCATTGAACCCCGAATCTGTCAGGACATATGTGTGATCTTGGATAACGCATTCAACCTCCTGAACACTGAATTTCCTTGACTGTAAAATGTTTTAGAGATGTTCCTCACCCGGTTGCATGAAGCAAACCTCTGTGTGTTAAGGCACTTCCCACAGCATCTGCGACACAGAACAGTGGCATCTGTGCTCTTCGTAGTCTCTGAACACAGACCCACAGCAGTATATTTTGTGGTTTTTTTTTCTATATAAAAGGCTTTGAAAATGTCCCACAGCTTCCTCAGTAAGTGACTGTCAAAAGGGGCAGCCTTCAAAAGTAGAATTCTGGCAAATGTCTTCAAAAGACACAAAATTATGGCAATGGGCACATTTCCCTCCTGCCTTGCTCTTCTGGATGCATCCATTCTCTCTCACAGCATAGTCATTTTCTTCCACTCCACTGTAGAAATTTTCCTTCTAGTGGCAAGAGTGACGTGAGTGATATGTGGAAATTTCTTTCCAAGCGTGTTGGAGAAGCTTCCTCTGCCTGCTTCTTTTTGGCCACCTCCTGCCAGGGTAAGAGCAGAGGGCCTCCAGGGCTGCTCTGTCACCCCCAACAGCATGGACCTCACTGCAGTCACTCCGGAAGCTTCCCTCTAAAGAAAGCTTGTGCAGGAAACATCATGCATCGAGCAGCATGGGGACAGGGGCTGGCCAGCTGGGCAGGTCTCACACTCCTGACACTCAGACTCCAGGATACTCCTCTGTCCCCACCCAGGGCAGATCCCTGCCCTAAAAGTTTTCCCCTCATGTCCAGCAAATGCTGCATGGAGCCCTGGATTTCTACGTGGAAAGCTAGGAGGAGGGAGAGCTGAAATCAGGATGTAATCACCCTTTCCAAAGAGGTCAGTCCAGTACTACCATGTGCTCCTGGGCAAGCTCTCCAGGTTGAGGGAACAGGAGCAGGGGTTATGTCAGGTGAAGGTTGAAGTGAGAGACCTCCCAGGAGGTGTAGAATATTCCACTAGGGACATCTCATACCCTTCCAGGATTAGACCTTGAGGCCTGGAGATCCCCAGGCAATTAGTATTGAAGGTCGAAAGGCCAATGACAGGAATAGGAAGGCCCACTGTGTCATTCACAAAGCACTTCCAAACCCATCACCACAGGTGACCCTCACAACAACCCTGTGAGACCTGCAGGACAGGGGCTCTCACAAAGGAGGTGTCGGGAATGTCAAGATTTTAACACCTTCTCCAAGTCAGGATCAGGAAACGCTGTCCCAGCACTGACCTATATTCCCTATGCTTCCTCCCACAAAACAGCTTAGGGTGACTGATAACTTGTGGGCAGAGACCCTCACTTCCAATCCCCACAAGGGGCTGTGCAGTGGGGAGGACGAGGCCCCCTCCTCTGACTGTCTCCTCCAAGACCCTGTTTTCTGAGGAAGGTCACTCTGGGAACTGTTGGCCTCTGCAGATGGGGGCCTGGACCATGTGGAAAGATGATGTGAAGGTCACACCTGGCAGGCACCAGCGCTGGAGGGCAAACCTCACCTTTAAAACTCACACTTTTTTAAAAATTTTATTTTTATTTTTAATTTATATGAGTACATGGTAGGTGTATATATTTATGGGGTACATGAGATAGTTTGACACAGGCATGCAATGTGTAATAAACATATCAGGGTAAATGGGGCATTCATCACCTCAAGCAAGGGAAATGCCAGCTGCTTATAAAACCATCAGATCACATGAGAACTCACTTACTATCATGAGAACAGCATGGGGAAACTGCCGCCATGATTCAGTTACCTCTCACTGGGTCCCTCCCAGGACACATGAGGATTATGGAAATTACAGTTCAAGATGAGATTTGGGTGGCAACGCAGCCAAACCATATCACCTTATAAAATGAATAATGTGGAAATAGCAGCGGGCCTGAATCCTGACCCCTGCTGTGTGATGCCCCCTCTTGAGGAGGGCCTGGCTTCTGTGCCATGCAGAAACTTTCCTGTGCTTCCTGCTGACTTGGGGTGAGCCAGGTCTTCCTGGGGGAGCTGGGCACTTGTGGGACAGGAGAGTCCCTGTCCTGGGGTCTCCATTTGTCTCCTTACCACATCAACAAAACACCAGAGGAGCCAACTCAACAAACCTCAATGCACGGCACTTCCTGGACCCTAGGTGCTCAGGGCCCCCTGAGCTGCCCTGGGGCAGAACACTGGCCAGTGCTTCCCCAACAACTCCCCCATGCACAGATGCCTGGTGGACACACTTCCCTTAACCCTGCTCAGCTGGAGCTCAGCCCCCATCCTAGTACCTCTTCCTCCTCCTCCAGGGCAGGAAAAGGAAACCCAACTCCAAACCCATGGAGAATCCTCATCTTGGGTGAGGCCTTGGCTTGGGACTCAGCCCCTTTGTCAGGCCTGCGAGGAGCTCCATCTTCCCCTGTTTCCCTGCCCCATGAGACCCTGGGCCTCTGGGAAAGAGTTGAGGGTGTCATCCACTCAGCAGGTACCGCATGATCTTTGGGAAGGATTTGTGTTATACCTGTCCCTGGTGGGATAGAAGCCTCCAGAGCTGGGCAGTATTTGGGCTGTAGAAACCTGAGAAGCCCCTGACCCATCATGCATCAGAGCCCACTCCCAAGATGTGGAGCCATCAGCTGGAAGAGCTGGGCAGTGGCAGGGGACCCCGGACCCTGAGGCCTTCCTCCCTTCCATCAGGTGACCCTACCATGTGGCCTCAGCTCTAGAGAGGTGGGCCCTAGCTGGAGGCACTGCACAGCAGCATCCTGGGTAAAGGTGCCAGAAGGGCAGGCCTGCCTTTGAGGCTGTGAGGCAGGGCTGCGGCAGGCAGTGGCCAGTGGAGGGAACCGGGTGGGTGCCGAGGGACTACATGGCCATCTCCTGGACATGGGGTCTGGCTAGGGGACATGGGATGGGCAGACACTGCCATCTTGACTTCATCGGCCCATCTGTGGGCTGGGGGGGCAGCTGGGAGTGTGGCCAGCTGGGAGGTAGGAGGACTCTTGGGGAAGTGAGAGTCACCTGCATGAACTCAGGGCTAGAGGGCTGTGGCTCTGGGACACACAGGGTGGCCAGGGGGAGGCTGCAGCGGCCTCTGCTGTTGGGAATGAAAGGTGTCTGCCTTGAAGTGAAAGGGTCCCTGTTCAGCTCTGGGCCCCTGTGGGACCCTCAGCAGGGATGTCCTGAAGGCTCCTAACAAGCTGGAAAGCAAGGAAGGTGCCTTGTCTGGAAGTCAGGATCGCCCAGCCAGGGTGGCCGTCCCATGGCCTGGCTGCATGAGGCCCTGGGGGTAGCTGTCCGCCTACCTTGCAGGGAGTGCCTCTCCTCAGCCATCAGCTGATTCAGTCCCCAGAAGGTGTCTTCCTCTGGCAGATACAGGAGGAGGATGGCAGTTAGGCAGCTCATGTCCCTGTAGTAGCCCACCTCCTGCAAGAGCCAGAGTCACCATGGAAGCAAGTCACCTGAGAGGGCTGAGGCCATCTGGGAGGACTCATGTCACTGGAGAGGACAGAGATAACCTGGGAGACCTCCCTCAGGCCCTAGGGGATTTAGGGTGCAGACTCTGCACCCCTCCCCTGACCCTGGGCATGAGGACTAAGCAAGTCCCCCACAACTCAGTTGAAAAGGGACCTGGAGGGACTTCTGCAGTGAGTGTCCAACCTCACATGGTCTGAAGGGGCACAGGCAAGGATCATTCACATCCCCTATCCTGGGCCAGGCTGGGAAGGCCAGTGTGCCAGGACTGGGGCAGCACCTGTGAACCGCACCCACCACAAGGGCAGGTGGTGGGCCACTGATCACCACACAGTGGGTCCTGTGATGGCCCAGGGGCTGCCTGCCAGGCACAGGAGGGCGGCTGGGTCCAGACCCCATGTGAGCAGCCCATGGAGTGATCTCAGCGGCTCTCCCTGCCTGGAATGGTCTGGGAAGTGGGGGCCAAGCAGGAACAGCCACCTGGGTGACCTCCTCCCTATCTACTATGCTCCTACGGGGTTAAGGCAAAGGGGAAATTGGATCCCTGCCAGGTTTCCAATAAAGAGGCTTCCTCAGGATGCAAACTCATTTCATGAAAAAAAGCCTGGCCCCATCAGGCACCTCAGCAGCTTGTCAAACATGTCTCCTGCAAGGACTATCCTGTGTGCAACACTGCTAAGCTCCTTGTTTGGGGCAACACCAGGAAGGGAGGGTCATTTCTTCTTCCAAGATGTGGTGGTTGGGTCCAGGTGACATCAACAGTCTGGGCCCTGACCCCTTTCCATCTCAGTGGGACCCCTTGAGACACCAGCTTTCCTTCCTTGCTTGGGTGTCCACGCCAGCAGTTCTACCTACTACGTTATTACAGCCAGATCAGGATAATTGTCCTCTCTCTGGAATAAATGCAACGACCACTGTTCTTTGAGCATTATTTATCTTAAATTATTGTTTTAATTAGATATGTATCTCACTTATATTAGCCAAATTTCCTTTCAATGTAACCAAATTTCTTTTAAGTGAAAATTAAATATTTACCTTCATCAAGCATTCTATGAATATAAAATGTTTATTTTTTTCAACTTTAGAAGAAATTGAAAATGTCTACATGCTACTAATCTAAAAAACAGGCTCTGGGTTTATATGGTGTTAACCTTTCTTCCAAATTTTAAGGAATAGATATTTAAATGCCATCCACTTTGTTTTAAAATACATAAAATGTTTTAAGCTTTTGACCTCAAAATTTACAGTAGCACAGCTATTCCATAATGAATAAACCACAGAATCAAAACAAAGAAAGATTCTACAGACCAGTCTAACCAACAAGACAATTATAAACTAGTGGTTCAAATATCAAAAACCAATTTCAATGACAAATGCATGGTATGAAAACCCTGCAAATGTCAAGTAGAATATATTATACTTGAATGAAATTATGAGTTGAGAGTAGGAAATCTATGTTTAACCAAGCAAATTAAATAAAGTTTATGAGGAAATTATACTGCTAATGTTTTATTATTTGGCAAGCTATTCAGTGGAACACAAAGATATTCTTAATGAAGTCGAAAATATATTTTAAAATGTGACTGAAGTGGATTAAAAAATAATGAGGACATGAATAACTTTAAAAAGTATTCAGGGATAAAGAGAGAAAAATAAATTTAGATTTCATACATACATAAAATATATTTAAAAAGTTATGTTTTTTGGTTGCTTGAATAAAAGGAACAGATATTTAAATTCCATGCCTTTCATTTTAAAGTTTAGGAATTGCTTATAGCTTTCCACACTGACTTTTATACTAACACAGTTAATCTAATCGAGGGATAACAAAATCAAAACAAGCAGAATTCTCTTGACCAATCTATTTTCTTGATTTTTAAAAGTCAATGTACTCTCAAAGAAACAAGACTATTATTCGTAGATTCTGTTATTTGAAAATATTTACTGGTCATTTTTACCTTACACCAAGTGATCTCCAGCTCATGGAAAAATATGTAAAGTTGCCCAGCTTCATTAAGCTTAAACTCTTCTGAAGGAGAAAAGAAGCAATGGAGTAGGGACATTAAAGCAGGAGTTTGGTGATATGGCTGAGACTTCTACTTGCACACTGTGGTAGCTGTGTGGAGACTGGATTGAAAAAGGGGCAATGACAGAAGCTTAAATTAGTATCAAATATGGCAATCCTATAATTTTAAGGGTCCTTGAAATAAGAGTGTATAATAGTTCTCATTATTTCCCCAAGAAATCTGTGCACTTGGCCTTGTGTGGAAAGCGCTATAGTTACCAAGTGGTGGGGGTGGGAAGGTGAATTTTCAACAACATTTGGAATTACTACACTTTAAAGGTAAAGCTGGCAGGAATTCCATACACATCAGATCTGAAAATGTGTGTGTGTGTGTGTGTGTCTGTCTGTGTGTGTTTGTGTGCGTGTGAAGCAGGGAAAGAGAGCAAGAGTGAGAGTGAGCAAGAGAGAGAGGAGAGAGAGGGAGAGAATCAGACAGATACAGGAAGAGAGTGACAGAGCTACAGAGACAGAATTAAAAGGGGACACCAAGAATATTGAGCTGAGAAACTATAAAATGGGAGTTGCCATTAAACAGAATGGGGAAGAGCAAATTTTGGGAGTTTCAGTGGCTCCATACAGACATATTAATTTTGAGATTCTTAACTGACATCCACGTGGAAAAGTCAGGGAGTGTTGGGTGTAGTGTCCAGTGTTTAGGTGTAATATGAAATATCAGGAAATTAATGACACAAAAATTAGTAAGAAAGCAAAGATAAGAAAGATAAGAAGTCAAAGTCCTGAGCCTAATGGTCCTCTAACATTTAAAAAATAGTAAAGATGAAACCTGCAAAAAAGGACTAGGGGTAATTATCAAAAACGTAGTGGGGGGAAAGTAAGTTAAGTGTTCTGGAATTCTATAAAAAAGTTTTACAAAGAGAAGGTGGAGATCAACTGTGTGAAATGCTGCTGATATATAAATTAAGATGAAGGCCGAGAAGTTATGGTTCAATTTATAATTTAACAATATGGATAGCACTTATATTTTGATATGAGCAGCTCGTTGGAATGAGTAGGTGAGAAACCATATTGGAGTGGTTGCTGAGATGAAAGTCTGATCCCTGGATTCTTAAGGAAAAATTTTATTGGACTACAGAGACATAAATTGGATTTTTAATTCTGGAGTCAGGATGTGCTCAGTAAACATGTGCCCATCAATGCCTCCTTGCATTTTTTTTTTAGCTAGGTATTCTGTTATCTTTTAATAATATAATAATTACCTGCAAAACCTACACCCATGTTGCAGCAAACCACCATGACACATGTATACCTGTGTAACAAAACTGCATGTTCTGCACATTTATCCCAGAACTTAAAGGAGAGAGAGAGAGAGAGAGAGTGAGAGAGAAAGAAAATCCAGCCAAGTGCGGTGGCTCATGACTGTAATCCCAGCGCTTTAGGAGGCTGAGACAGGTGGACCATCTGAGGTCAGGATTGAGAACAGCCTGGCCAACATGGTGAAACCCTGTCTTTACTAAACATACAAAAATTAGCTGGGTGTGGTGGGGGGCACCTGTAGTCCCAGCTACTTGAGAGGCCAAGGCAGGAGAATCACTTGAACCTGGAAGGCAAAGACTGCAGTGAGCTAAGATCACGCCACAGCACTACAGCCTGGGTCACAGGGTGAGACGGTTTGAAAAAGAAAAACAAAAACAAAAACTAAAAAACACCCATTTAATTGACAAACTTTACAAAGACTGATACTAGAGGTTGTTGGAGAGGACGTTGTTCCACATATCTTATGAGTTGCCGATGGACAAGTAAGATGGTAAAATGTCTTTGAAAAACTGACCATACCTGCTATACTTAAATATTCAGACACCAAACACCCAGAAATTCCATCTTGTCATTTATTTCCACAAGAAAAAACAAGAGACCTGTATTAAAATATTGATTTCTATTAAAAATAATCACACTAGGTTTCCTGAAATTTTTTTGTTGGTAGCTCTTGTTTTCAGCAGTACAACTTCCAATATATATGTGTATATATATTTAATATATGTATTTATGTATATATATTGGACAGATATATATGTATATTATACATATGCATACATTATATATTATGTATATATGTATATACATACACATGTATATATGTAATATACATACACACACGTATATATGTAATATATACACACATGCCTATATGTAATATACACACACGTATATATGTAATATATACACACATATGCATATATGTAATATATACACACATATGCATATATGTATATACACACATATGCATATATGGTGTATATACACACATGCATATCTGTGTATATACACAATATATGCATATCTGTGTATATACACATATATGCATATGTGTGTATATACACATATATGCATATATTGTGTATATACACCATATATGCATGTGTGTATATACACCATATATGCATATGTGTGTATATACACCATATATGCATATGTGTGTATATACACCATATATGCATATGTGTGTATATACACAATATATGCATATGTGTGTATATACACAATATATGTATATATATTAGGCAGAATTTTGCTCTTGTTGCCCAGGTTGGAGTGCAATGGTGCAATCTCGGCTCACTGCCATCTCCACCTCTCAGGTTCAAGCGATTGTCCTGCCTCTGCCTCCCGAGTAGCTGTGACTACAGGCTTGTGCCACCACCCTTGGCTAATTTTGTATTTTTAGTAGAGATGGGGTTTCACCATGTTGGTCAGGCTGGTCTCGAACTCCTGACCTCAGGTGATCCACCTGCCTTGGCCTCCCAAAGTGCTGGGATTACAGGTGTGAGCCACTGTGCCCGGCCTATTTTGTATTTTTTAATCTACCACACTCTAAGAACACATATTTTAAATCAATTTGTACATTCAGTGACTAGAACAAAACCAGCATTTTGTAGATTCCAAAGAATTATTTGTTGTATAAATGATGAATAACTTAAATAAGTTATTATTTATAACATCTATATACAAACAATATATTACCTGAGAATACAGTGATAACACGTTATGTATAAAATGATTTCAATCTCAGTTAAAAATATTTTTGCATGAGTTATTGTCATATGCAGATGCTCACATTGTTTTGTTTAGATGAAAATGTTTGTAACTACTATGCACATTTTTGTTACTTAAGCCTTTTGGTCTTGCTGCCGTAGCAAATCCTGTGCCTCTTAAGAACATGAACCTCTTTTACTTCATTTTTTAGCAGATTTCTTAATGAAATATATACCATACTATTTTGTTTAACACATAAGCAGACACCCTGTCAGAAGCAAAGAGACATCTATTCCACCATTACCACCCATGCCTCTGCTAATGTGGCTGCTGAAGATGTTACCTAGAGCAGAGGACTTTGTGTTCAACCTAAGCACTTTATATCCTTTATTTTCAACTGGGTAGGAGATAAAATAATTCAGCAGCAATAAAAGTCACACTTCTTAAAGTTGCAGTCTCACCAATGCAACACAATGTAGCAGTCTCTCTTGTGAGGTATCACCTTGAGTTCTTCATCTCACCACCAAGATGATTAAGGAACGGGGACACACGGGTGAGGTGGGAGTGAAAGTTTAATAAGCAAAAGGAGGAAGCTCTCTGCAGCAGACAAGGGCGTCCAAGTGGATTGCCGTTTTTACAGTTGAATCAAAAAGCTTTTATAAGAAACTCCTCTCAGCTATATATAAAACTGTCTGCACAATTCCCTTTATATATCCAGCTGTGGGTATGTCTCTAGTCAAGCACAAAGTGGGCTTCTCCTGTTTGTATAACTGTGGGTTTGTTTTAGGTAAGCCCCCCTCCTCCCTGTGCAAGTTCCCACAGAGGCCGCCATGTATATGCCTGAAAAGGGGAGGAAAATTTTACCTGGGAGCTTGCCAATTACACAAAGAACAGAAGGCATCGGTGCTGGACCCTGCATGCTTATCTGTTCAGGGCTTATCTGTAGGTGCAGTAGTTGTGATTTTTCAGGCAGACAGCTTCCCTGAGGACCAGTCTCTTACTTGTTTACTCAACTAATTTTCCTTTCCTTCTCCCTCAACATTATGCAGCAAAACAGATTACACTTCTCTTTCCCAGTAAATCAGTGTTGGTACTCCACTCTGAATACTTGTATTATTGGATTTCTTAGAAAAAAATATTTGGGATTATAATTTAGATGCCATCAAACAATGAACAAAAATATGCTACTTCGTTTCCCTTCTCTTCTCTTGTTACCAGACAATAGCTAGTTTTCTTTTCTCTCCAACTCCTTTTTTCTGTGCTTCTACCTGATTTTTAAAAACACTTCTACACATTTCCAATCTTAGTATAGCAGACATCAAATACGTGGTCAAACTACATACATAGGAAGAGTTGAATTATCTAATTATATTCAAGCAGTTTAAAATATTTCCCCTTCAGTTTGCTTTGCAGTTATTTTACATAATCAAATGTCTTCCTGATATACATCCCAACCCAGTGGTTGTCAAGCTCTGCTTTGTTTTCTAATTGCATCAGAATTATCCACAATTCTTTTTTTTTTTTTTTTTTGAGATGGAGTCTTACTGTTGCCCAGGCTGGAGTGCAGTGGTGTGATCTCAGCTCACTGTCATCTCTGCCTCCCTGATTCAAGTGATTCTCCTGCCTCAGCCTCCCAAGTAGCTGGGACTACAGGCATGTACCACCATGCCTGGCTAATTTTTGTATTTTTAGTAGAGATGAGGTTTCACCATGTTGGCCAGGCTGGTTTTGAATTCCTGACCTCAAGTGATCCACTGCCTGGGCCTCTCAAAGTAAGAATTATCCAAAATTCTTATGATAAATATGGATAAATCAGCACAACTCAAGATTTAATACAAATTTCCAAGAGAAGAAACCCAGGAATATGCATTGAAAACGTCTCCCTCAGGTGATTCTGATGTGATATGTGGTCTGAGTCTAAAATGCAAGGAAAATTACCTTCCCTGCCCTCCAGTTGGCCCTTATGTCCAGATGTCCCTCTTCCCCTTTCTCATTGTGCTCTCTCCTTCTGTGCCTTTGTTCTATTCTCCCTCCACTTCTCATCCAGATGCCAAGCCCTCTTCCATCAATTGTCCTAAACTCCAAATGGTCAGTTGCCTCTATACTTCCCTCTGTCCCATGAACAAGTTACTCAGGCAAACGTAGAATTTCGGCTTGGACCAAGCTGAATCAAGAGCTGCAATTAAAGATTCCCCTAAGCCCGGAGGGGACCAGCAAACACTTATAGAAGATTTTGGATTTCCTCCGAATGCATAAGGCTCTGGGTAACCTGATGCTACAGACCAAATGTTATTGTCCCCCTCAAATTCAAGTGCTGAAATCTAATTCCCTATGTGATGATATTTGGAGGTAGGGCCTTGGGGAATGATTAGATCATGAAGGCAGGGACCACAGGAGTGGGATTAGTAGCCCCTATTGAAGGCACCATAGAAAGCTCCCTCATCCCTTCTGTCATGTGAGGACATGGTAGAAACATGGCTGTCTATGAACCACAAAGCAAGCCCACACCAGACATGGAATCTGCTAACCACTTGACCTTGAATTTTGCCATCTCCAGAACAGAGAGAAACAAATTTGTTTATAAGCTTCCTCATCTATGGCATTCTGTTTTGACCCCAGATTAGCTAAAAACACCAAAATATCAACTTGTACATCAAATTTTCGAAATGGATGCTAAAACTTTGATAGCAAAAGGTGACTGATCTGCCTGAGAAATGAACCTACATGATCCCTCTTTCCACAAAGCTGGAGGGAGAGTCAACACAAGCAAAAATAGGTCAAAGTCTTCTAAAAGCCATACCTGAAGGGTTTTCAATATCACTTGATCAGATGGTAATTTAATCACCCAAAGAACCACAACAAAATACACAACTATCAGAGGTTTTCAACGTCACCTCAAAAACACCATCTACAATATTAGGGAGTGAAAGAAGTCATGGAAGTTTCAAAAAGTCAAACTTTATTTCAGTGTTATGGTAGAAATTTGAAATTCTTAGTTAAGCTATGAATAAATCCTTGGGCAGGTGCAGGCATGGAGATTCTGGAGTGCTGCTGCTGAGTTTAAGAGCTTCCTTTGGAGATGCCCCCTGGCCCCCTCAACCCCTGTCCACCTGTCAAGAAGAGGCCATCCTGGGCAGCACATTAGAGGCAAATGGCCCAGATGCCCAGCTGAGGGCAAACCTCCATTCCTGGAGGAGGAGGTCGCCTCTGGGAGCAGGAGGACCTGCTGGAACCCCTGCTCACAGGCTCCTTTTCTTGCTCTCCAGCACCTCCTGCAGGCAGGCAAACACCTCCAGCAGCAGTAGCGGCAGGGCCTTCAGCAGCAGGGCTGCTGCTCTGCTGAATGAGAGAAGTCCCTCTCCAGTGAGGCAGAGGAGCCCAGGTTGCACACCCTGGTCTCTGCCTCCATAGCTTCCACTGTGCCCAGGACTGGGAGCAGTGTGGGAGCTGCTGGCTGGAGCTGTGCTGGTCACCCCCTCTCTGCCACCTCTAGCTCCAGCCACACTTTCAGCTCCAGGGCTGAGGCCAGTGGCTCTACAGGAGGTGCCATGAAGTCAGGCAGCTTCTCACTAGGCTGGTCCTGTGCAGTCCCAGGGCAGCGGCAGGAGGGCTCTGGAGCTTCCTCTAGCTCCAGCGCTGTCCCTGGAAGGGGCTCTGCCCCTGGTGCTGGCACTGGCTCAACAGCTGGCACTGGAAATAGCTGTGTTTCTGCACCTGAAGCAGGAGCTGCAAAAGGAGAGAGGTCACCAATATCACTCACTTTCCACTGGAATTTCCAAACATGAAAACAACCTCACTGAATTTAAAGGAATTTCAGCCTGAAAACATTGTCCCTGGAAAGACTTCCAGACTGCAGGTGACCTCACCATGTGCCTGTGTCTCAATGAGCTCCAGAGGCTCCAGCTGGACAAGGACAATGTGCAGATGTGGCCCTGGTGGGATCACTGGTGAGGCCTGGCCTGGTAGCTCCATCTGGGGCCTGATGTCTACCTGGTGACTCCTGTCCTGTGGTACCTGGGGGGACCTTCTGTCAAATGGCCAGAGGCATCTGGAGTGAGCGATGAGCTTACAAGGGCATCGTTGGAAAAGAAAGGCTCTCACTCCTGCCATTCCTGAAGCAGGAGCCTTGAGATGTGGGGATGCAGCACAAGAACGTCTTGCTCTCTTGAGCATCTCCCACCAAGTGAGCTGGCTACAGGGCTAACTCTAGGATGTGGGTGCCTGGTTATCGGGATTCTTTTTTTTTTTTTTTTTGAGACATTGTCTCATTCTGTTGGCCAGGGTGGAGTGCAGTGGCATGATCTCGGCTCACTGCAACTTCCGCCTATTGGGTTCAATCAATTCTCCTGCCTCAGTCTCCTGAGTAGCTGGGATTACAGGCCCAAGACATGCACCACAACACCTGGCTAGTTTTTTTGTGTTTGTTTTTTGTTTGTTTGTTTGTCTGTTTTGAGACAGAGTCTCGCTCTGTCACCCAGGCTGGATGGAGTGCAGTGGCGTGATCTGGGTCACTGCAAGCTCCGTGTCCTGGGTTCATGCCTTTCTCCTGCCTCAGCCCCCCGAGTAGCTGGGACTATAGGCGCCCACCACTACGCCCGGCTAATTTTTGTATTTTTAGTAGAGACGGGGTTTCACTGTGTTAGCCAGGATGGTCTTGATCTCCTGACCTTGTTTGCTTTTTGTATTTTTAGTAGACATGTGGTTTTACCATGTTGTTCAGGCTGGTCTCGATCTCCTGGTTTCATGATCCTCCTGCCTCAGCCTCCCAAAGTGCTGGGATTACAGGTGTGAGCCACCGTGCCTGGCCTGGTTACCAGAATTCTAAGTTCTGTTAGGGTCTGTTGCCAAAGAAGTGAGGTTGCTTCTTTAAGGTTCCATCCCCTCAGCCTCCCCCTTCCAGAAGACCTACGCAGGACCCCAGTGGGCTTCTGACTGCTCATCCTCCCCATAGGTCAACTCCTTACCTGTACACAGTTATGTCCACCCAGGGCCTACTTGGACACCTGCACCTGATGTTCACCAGGGGCTTAGGAATCCACTTGGGGCCTGGGATCCTACAGGGGCCTAATGTTACCCTGCAGATTGAGTAGCCACCTGGGGACCAGGTATCAACCTGGGGACTGTGGTTGACCTGTGGGTTAATGTCCACCTGGGGACTGGTTATTCAGCTGAGGCCTGATGCGTACCTGGGGCCGAATGTCCCCCTCAGGGTGAATTCCACCCAGATCCACCTGGGGCCTAATGTCTGCCTTAGATCTGTGTCCCACTGGGGCCTTGTGTTCACCAGGGACTGGTATCCAGCTGTGGCCTGATGACCTACTGCATCCTGTTGCTCACCTACGGCCTGGTGTCTACCTGGGGCTTGGTGATCACCTGGGAACTGGATATTAACCTGGGGCCTGGGTGACCACTTAAGGCCTGATGTGTGCCTGGGGCCTGACTGTCCACCTGGGGACTGGGTGTCCACCTTGGGTCTGATGTCTACCTGAAGTTAGGTATCTACCTAAGGCTTGGTGTCTACCTGTGGCCTGATGTCCACATGAGTCTGGGGTTCGGTTGGGGCCTGCTGTACATCTGGGACCTTGGTGTCTATCTGAGGCCTGATGTCTACCTGGTGACTGCCATCCTCTTGAGGCCTGCTATCCACCTGGGAATGGTTTATCCATGGAAATGGTTATGTCCACCTGGGGCTGGATGTTGCCCAGGGGCTAGATGTCCACCTGTGGCCCCGTGTCCACCTAGGGCCTGATGTCCACCTGGGACATGGTGTTCACCTGAGACCTGGGTGTTTACATAGGGCCTGATGTCCAGCTGGTGCCTAGGTGCCCAGCGGGGGCCTTCTGTTAACCTGGGGACTGGTATCCAGCTGGGTCCTAATGACCACCTGGGTTGAATTATTCACCTAGAGTTTGGTATTCACTTAGGGCTTGAGTGTCAGCCTTGGACCTGGTGTCCACCTGGGCCTTGGGTATCAAACTAGGGGTTTGGTATCCAGTTGAGACATCATTTGCACCTGGGGTCTGAGTGTTCGCATGAGGCCAGATGACCACTGGGGGCCTGAATGTCAACCTGGTGTCTGAAATTCACTGGAAGCCTAGGTATCCACCTGGGGCCTGATGTCCACCTGGGACTAGGTGTCAACATGTGGCCTGATGTAAACCTCTAGTTGAGTGTCCACCTTGGGCCTGATGTCCACTGGGGGACTGATGTTCCCCTTTGATCTGATGTCTACCTGGAAACCGTGTATTCACCCATGGCCTGATGGTCACCTGGGGTTGAATGTCCAACTGTGACCAGATGTGCACCAGGATTCTGGGCATCCACGTGGGACCTGATGTTCAGCTGGGGCCTGGAGTTCACCTGAGGCATGATGCCTACCTGAAGCTTAATGTTCATCTGAGTGCTGGATGTTCACCTGGGGCCTGATATCCCCCTGGAGCCCAAGGACCCTTCTCAGGCCTGATGTCCACAAGTTGGCCTGGTATTCATCTGGGGCCTTCGTGTTAACCTGTGGCCTAATGTACTCCTGGGTTCTAGTGTCCTCTTGGGACCTGATGTCTACCAGGATCCAGGTATCCACCTGGGGCTCGGTATCCACCTAGGGCTTGATATTCACCTGGGGCCTAGGAATCCACTTGATAACTGGTGCCCATCGGGGTCCTGATGTTCACCTTGGGACTGGGTAACCACCTGAGGCCTGATGTCCACTTAGGGCATAAGTGTTTATCTGGGGTCTAGTGTTCACATAGGGTCTGATGTCAACCTTGAGCCCAGGTATTCACCAGGGGACTAGTGTCCAGCTGGGACCAGATGTTCACTTGGGGCCTGGTGTCAACTTGGAGCACGGTTGTCAACCTAGGACCTGATGTCCAGTCCAGTGTCCACCTTGGGCCTGTTTACTACCCGGGGCCTGTGTGTCCACATAGACCATGGTGTCAATCTGGGGCCTGGGTATTTACCGGGCGCCTGGATATTCATTGGTACATTATGTCTAGTGGAGTCTTTGTGTCAATCTGAGCTCTGATGTCTACCTAGAGATTGGGTATCCATCTAAGGCCTGGTGTTTACATGGGGCCTGTAACATGAGGTTCCAGATGAACTCAGATGTCCACCTGAGGCCTGATGTCCACCTGAGTTCTGAGTGTTCACATAGGGCCTGCTGTCAACTTGGGACCTAAGTATTTACCTAGGGCCTGGGTGTCCACCTGGTGCCTGACTTCCAACTAGATCTTGTGTCAACATGGGGCCTGATGTCCACTTTGGGCCTAGGTAACTTCCTGATGACTAATGCCCACATGGTTCCTAAGGACCATCTGAGGCCTGGTATTAATTTAGAGACTGGTATTCATCTGGGGTCCAGGTATCCACTTGGGACCTGATGTTCACCTGGAGTATAGGAATTCACGTGGGGCCTGGTATCCACCTTAAGTGTGTGTATCCAATTGAGTGTGGTGTCCACCTGGAGTCCAGTGTATACCTGGGGCCTGATGTACATATGGAGCCTGGGCGTCTATCTAGGACCTGATGTTCAGATAAGGGCTGGCATTCTCCTGGCCTGGTGTCCACATGGAGCCTGGGTGTACACTTGAAGCCTGATATCCCAGGTGGATACCTGGGCCCCAGTGGTCATCAGATCCTAGGAAACTCTCAGGCCCCAGGTGCACATAAAGCTACAGTGGCCACCTAGGCCACAGGTTGATACACAGGGTCCAGGTGGACACTGGGTGCAAGATGAACACCAGGCCCCTGGTGAACGCCAAGCCCCAGGTGTCTGCCTAGTCCTCAACTGGACACCAGGCACTAGATTGACACACAGGTACCAGGTGGATATCAGGCTGCAGGTGAACATCAGGCCTCAGGTGGTTGGGTTACTTATAGCATAGGTGGCCATCAGGTCCCAGATCTATATCCACTCCCCACCTGAAAATCAGGATCCATGTGGATACCCATGTCCTAGGTGAACACCAGGTTCCAAATGAACATCAGGCTCCAAGTGAACACACAGGCCCCAGCTCAATACCAGCCTCAGGTAGACATCAGGACCTAGGTGCACCCCAGGCCCAATGTGCATGCCTAGTCTCTTGGAATACATCATTTTCAAGGTGGACACCCAGATTCCTCAAAGACATCTGGTGCCAGGTGGATATCTGGCTGCAGGTGGACATCAGGCCCCAGGTGGAGACCCAGTACACAGGTGTAAATCAGGCTCCAGTATTTCATCAGGCCCCAGTTTAACACTTGACTAAAGGTGTGCATCAAGACCCAGGTTGACAGCCAGGCTTCAGGTGCACACTAGGCCCAAAGTGTACACCTGTGCCAAGGTGGGCATCAGGCCCAAGGTGTACACCAGACCCCAAGTGGACATCAGGTTCCAGGTTGACACCAGTCTCTAGGTAGATCCTTAAACCCCAGTTGGTCATCAGGCCCAAGGTGGATACCTTGACCCCAGGGGGTCACCAGGTCTCAGGTCGACACTAAGCCCTAGGTTCAAGGTCTGAGATGGTTTCAGCCCCCATGTGGACTTTAGTCATAAGGAGCTTACCTAGGACCTAAGTGGACATCAGGCCCCAGGTTGACACAATGAACCATGTAGAAGTCAGGCTGTAAGTAGACACCCAGGCCCTAGGTAAATACTTTGGTCCCAAGCCAACATCAGGCCCTATGTGGACACCCAGACTCCAGACAGATGTCAGGCCCCAGGTGAACACTGAACTCAGGGTGGTCATCAGGCACTAGGTTGACACATAGGCCTCAGGTAGACAACAAGCACAGGTGAACTTCAGGCTCCAGATGAACGTCAGGCTCCAGGAAGAAGTCTGTGCCCCAGTTAAACACCAGGTCTTAGGTAGACATCAGGCCTCAAATGGATGCCCAGGCCCCAGGTGGATATAAGGCCTCAGGCAAACACCAGGCCCCAGGTAGACATTAGACACGAGATGGACACTCAAGCCACAAGTGAACATCTGTCCCCAGGTGGACATCCACCCAAGGTGGACATCAGGCCAGAGATGTACACCCAGGCCCCAGGAGAACCCCAGGCCCCAGGAGGACACCCAAGTGCCAGAAGGACACCCAGTCCCTAGGTAACTACAAGGCCCCAAGTGGACATGATGTTCCAGATGGATATGAGGCCCCAAGTGGATACTAGGCCCAGGTGGACCCCAGATCTCAGGGGCACACCAGGCCCCAGGGGAACACCAGGCCCTAGGTAAGCATGAAGTCCCAGGTGGACATCAGTTGCCAGGAGGACACCAGGACCCAGTTGCTCATCAAGCCACAGCTGAACACCAGTTCCCCATGAACACCAGTCCTCAGGTGGGCACCTAGTCGTCTCGTGTGTATCAGGTGCCAGGCTGACATAGGCACCAGCTGAACTCTGGGCCTCAGGTGAACATCAGATCCCAGGTTGTCACCCAGGCCCCAGGTGAACACCAGGTTTTAGGTGGACACGAGGTCCTAGGTGGATGTCTATGCTCCTGGTGAACCTCAGGCCCTAGTGGACACTCAGGCCCTTTATAGACATCTGGCTCCATGTGCACTCCCAGGGCCCAGGTAGACATGAGGCCCCAGAGGAACACCAGTCCTTAATCACCTAAGACTGAATTCCCCTAGGGCAGGAGACTGAGTATTCACCTTGGGCCTAGGAATCTACCTGAGGCCAGATGTCAATCCGGGGCCTGATGTCTACTCAGGTTCAGCTGTCCACCTAGGGCGGGGTGTTTTTCTGGGACCCAGAGTCTACCTGAAATCTTGGTATCAACCTAGGGCCTATGTGTCCACTTGGAGTCTGATGTGCACCTGAAGCCTGAGTTTTCACGTGGGATCTGATGAGCACCTGGGGCCCAGGTTTCCATCTGAAACATCAGGTTCTAGTTATACATCTGGGCCCCAGGTATACACTAGGCACCAAAAGAACTCCAGCACCTATCTTAACATGAGGTCCTAGGTGAATGCCCAGGCCTCATGTCTACATTAGGCCTCAGGTAGACATGACTCCAGGCGGGCATCAGGCCTGATATTGGCTCTATGTCTCCACCCAAATCTCATGTTGAATTGTAATCCCCATGGGTTGAAGAATGAGCCTGGTGAATGGTGATTGAATCATGGGGGCAGACTTCCCACTTGGTGTTCTCGTGATAGAGTTCTTACGAGACCTGGTTATTTGAAAGTGTGTAGCACATCCCCCTTCTGTCTCCCTCCTCCTCCCACATGGTAAAAAGGGCTTTACATCATGATTGTAAGTGTCCTGAGCCCGCCCAGTCATGCTCCCTGTTAAGCCTGAAGAACTGTGGGTCAGTTAAACCTCTTTTCCTCATAAGTTGCCCAATATCAGGTAGTTTTTTATAACAGTGTGAAAATGGACTAATACAAGGACTTAGGATAACAACCATGCTTCAGGCCATAGGTGGACATCTGGCTGCAACTGGACACTATTCCCCAGGTGGATACCTAGGCTCAAGGTTGACATTAGTCCCCAGGTAAACAACAAGCCCCAGGTGAATATCTATGCCCTAGTAGACATCAGGCCTCAGGCTGACACTCAGTCTAACCTCAACATTAGGCTCCAGGTGGACGCCCAGACTGCAGGTGGATACTAGACCCCAGGGGTACACCAGACTCCTGGTAGGCATAAGACCCCAGGAGGACACTAGAATCCAGGTGTACATAAAGCCACTGGTTGACACCAAGCCCTCAGATGAACATCAGGCCAACTAGTGGATGTTAGGCACATGAGAATACTTGGGCACCAGGTAGGTATCAGGCCCCAGGTAAACATCAAACTTCAGGTGGACATCATTCTCCATGTGAACTCTAGCCCCAGCTAAACATCAGGCTCCAGGTGGAAGCCCAGACCCCAGGAGCACTTCTGACCACAGTTGAACATCTGTCTCCAGGTGAATATCAGACCATGGATGGATAGCAAGTCCCCAGGTGGACATCAGGTCAAAAGTGAATATAAGTCTCTAGGAAGACATCTGACCCCAGGTGGATACTGAACTAGAGGTTTACATCAGGCCCTAGGTTGACAGCAAGGCCCAGGTAGACAGCAGGCCCCAAGCGAAGACCAGGCCCAGGTGGATACTGAACTAGAGGTTTACATCAGACCCCAGATTGACATTCAGTCCCCAGGTGGTCATGACACCTCAATTGGACAACAAGTCCGTAGGTGTCCCAGGTGTACACCAGGTCAAAGATGAACACAAGACCTAAGTTTGACACTGAAGCCCCAAGTGGACATGAGGCCCTAGGTGAATAATATGACCCAGGGGATCATTAGGACCCAGCTTCATACCAGTCCCCAGGTTTACACGAGGCCCCCAGTAGGTTCCTAAATTCTAGTTGGACATGAGGTCTCTAGTAGACACCCAGGAGTAAGGTGGACATCAAGCATCAGATGGACGTCTGGCCGTGGATGAACATCAAGCCTCACATGGATACCTAGTCCGCAGGTAGACATCAGGCCCCAGTTTGACATCAGTTTCTGGATGGATCCCCAAGCCCCAGGTGGATATCCAGTGTCCAGCTGAACATCAGCCCCTCGTGGACGCCCAGTCCCCAGGTGAATATCAGGTCTAAGGTGAACACAAGTCCCCAGGCAGACATCAGACACCAGGTGTACACTCAGACCCCAAGAGGACATCTGTCCCCAGGTTGACATCACTCTCAAGGTGTACATTAGGCAACAGATATACACCCAGGTCCAAGGCAGACACGAGTCCCTAGTAAAACTCAAGGCCCCAGGAGGATACTCAAGCCCTAGGTGGATGCCCAGAACCCAGGTAATTACAAGGCCCCAGGTGGATATCAGATTCCAGATGAACATTAGGCCCCAAGTGGATACCTAGGCACCAGGTAGACACCAGGCCCCAGGTGCATCCCCCAGTCTCAGGTGCACACTAGGCCCCCAGTGAACACTGGCTCCAGGTGAGCACCCAGTCCAAGGTAGACACCGTGACCCAGGTGGTCATTAGGCCACAGCTGAACACCAATCTTGAGTGAACACCAGATCCCAGGTGGGTACCTAGTCTCCAGGTGGATATTGGGCCCCAAGTGGACACCCAGCCCCCAGGTGAACATCAAGCTTCAGGTGGACATCATGCCTCAGGTGAACTCCAGGTCCCAGCCCAGCTGAACATCAGGCTGCAGGTGGATGCCTAGGTTCCAGGTGCACAACAGGTCACAGTTGGACATTCAGCCCCAGGTGAACATCAGGCCATGGGTGGATAAACAGTCCACAGGTGGACATCAGGTCAAAGGTGAACATCAGTACTCAGGTGGACATCGGGCTCCAGGTTGACATTAAGCCCAAGGTGGATAGTGAACTAGAGGTTTACATCAGGCCCCAGGTTGACACCCAGGCTCAGGTGGACATTGGGCCCCAGGTGGATACCTAGGCCCCTAGTAAACCTCAGATTCTAGGTTGACATTCAGGCCCCCAGTAGTCATTTGGACCCATGTGGACACTCAGGCGCCAGGTTCACATGATGTCTTAACTGGACACCAAGGGGCCAGTTTGATACCCAATCCTATGTGGGTGCCAGGTCCAAGGTTACACTCAAGCCCCAAATGGACACCAGGCCCTAGGTGAATAATACAACCCAGGTGGTCATTAGGCCCCAGAATGACACCAGTCCCCAGGTTAACAGGAAGCCCCCAGTGGGTACCTAGGCCCCAGCTGGACATCAGGCCTAATGTGGACAAACAGGATCAAGATGGACATCAGGACTCAGGTGGACATCTGGTGACAGGTGGACAACAAGCCTGATGTGTACCTTGTCCCCGGGTGGTCATCAGGCCCCAGTTCAACACCAGTCCCTGGGTGGATTCCTCAGCTCCAGGTGGACATCCTGTCTTCAGCTGAACATCAGACCCCAGGTGAACACCAGGTCTTAGGTGGACATTAGGCCCCTGGTGGACATAAAGTACCAGTGGACATCCATGCTGCAGGTGGACACCCAGGACCCAGATGGGCATCAGGCCCCATTTGGACATTGAGGCCCCAGGTGGATATCAGGCCTCAGGTGAACCCAAGGTCCAACATAGACATCAGGCCTTAGGTTGACACTCAAGCACCAGATGGACTGCTGCACCTAAGCAGAAAACAGACCCTTATCTGGATATCTAAGATACATGTATACAACAAGCCCCAGGCTGACATCCAGACCCCAGGTGGACACCATACCCCAGGTGAACAGCAGGCAACAGTTTGGCACCAAGTACCTAAGTGAAACAAAGCCTTAGGTGATTACCAGGCCATAGTTAGTCATTAGTCTCCAGCTGGACAATAGTCCCTAGGTGGATACCCAGGCCCCACGTGGACACTAGACCCCTGATTAACACAAAAACCAAGTGAAAAATCAAGCCCCAAGTGGACAACCAGGCCCTAGGTAAATACACAAATCTCAAGCTGACACCAGGCCCTATTTGGACACCCAAGCCCTAAGTGGACTTCGGACCCCAGGTGAACACTGAACTCTAGAAGGTATTCAGGCCCTGTGTTTGACTACCTGGCCCCAGGGAGACACCAGGCATAGACGAACTTCAGGCACCAGCTGTACATCAGGTTCCAGGCAAATGTCCAGGCCCCAGGTGGATATCACACCTCAGATGAACACCAGGCCCCAGGTAGACATCAAAAACCAGGTGGACACTCAGGCCCCTACTGAATATCCGTCCCCAGGTGGACATCTGTCCCAAGGTGGACATGAGGCCACAGATGTACACTTAAGCCTAAGGCAGACCCCAGTCCCCAGGAAAACTCCAGGCTCCATGAGGGCACTCAGACCCCAGATGGATGGACTGGTCCTAGGTAAATACAAGGCCCCAGTGAACACTGGAGCCCAGGTGGGTACCTAGTCCCCAGGTGTGCAACAAGCAGAAGGTTGACCCAGTCCCTAGCTGAACTCTGGGCCCCAGCTGAACATCATAACCCAGATGGTCACCCAGGCTCCAGGTGAACACATGGTCTTAGGTGGACATCAGGCCCCACATGAACACCCAAGCCCCAGGTAGAGATCGGGCCTTAGGTGTACACCAGACCTCAGGTGGGCATCTGGCTCCAGATGGCCATAGGTGGATAACTAAGCCTCTCCTGGATATCAGGCCCCAGGTGGGCACCAGGCTCCAGGCGAACATCTAGCCCCAGGGGGACATCCAGCCCCTGGTGGACATCAGGGCTCACATGGATAAGTAGTTTACAGATGGACACCTGCCACAGGTGCCTCACCTCTACTCCCTGAAACCTCACTTCCCCTCATGGGCCTTCTGTTCGACTTGGGGTACCCCTAGCCGCCTTAGGTGCACACTGGACTCGAACCAGGGACGCCAGGGTCCCTGGGGCTCAACGCAAGGGTTCATGGGAATACACTTTCGTCCGTGGGGGACCCAGTCCCCGCTTCTCCGTGGCACAGTTTTTTTTCTCTGCCCCAGGTGCCTCACCTTTCCCTCATGGGCCTTCTGTCCACCTTGTGGTACCCCGGCGGCCAGAGGCGCACCCTGGGCTCGAACCAGGGATGCCAGGGTCCCCAGGGCACAGCGCAAGGGCTGATGGGGAGACACTTTCACCCGTGGGGGACCCAGGCCCCGCTTCTCCGCAGTGCTGTGTGTTTTTTTTTTTTCTCTGCCCCAGGTGACTCACCTTCCCCTCATGCGCCTTCTGCCCGCTTTGGGTTACCCCTAGCAGGCCAGAGGCGCACCCTGGATTCGAGCCAGGGACGACAGGGTCCCCGGGGCCCAGCACAAGGGCAGATGAGAAGGCACTTTCGTCCTTGGGGGACCCAGGCCCTGCTTCTCTGTGGCGCGGTTTTTTTTTTTTTCTTTTATGCCACAGGTGCCATACCTCTCCTCCCTCAAACCTCACCTTCCCCTTATAGGCTTTCTGCCCACCATGGGGTACCCCAAGAGGCCCGAAGCGCACCCTGGTTTGAACCAGGGATGCCAGGGTCCCGTGGGCCCAGCTCAGGGGCTGATGGGAAGACACTTTCTTCCGTGGGGGACCCAGGCCCCGCTTCTCCGCGGCATAGTTTTTTTTTTCTCTGCCTCAGGTGCCTCACCTACCCCTCATGGGCCTTCTGCCCGCTTCTGGGTACCCCTAGCGGGCCCAAGGCGCACCCTGGGCTCGAACCAGGGTCACCAGTGTCCGCGAGGTCCAGCGCAAGGCCTGATGGGAAGGCACTTTCGTAAGTGGGGGACCCAGGCCCAGCTTCACTGCGGCGCGGTTTTTTTTTTTTTTCTGCCACAGGTGCCTCACCTTCCCCTCATGGGCTTTCTGTCCGCCTTGGGGTACCCCCAGCGGCCCGAGGCGCACCCTGGGCTCGAACCAGGGATGCCAGGGTCCCTGGGGCCTAGCACCGGGTCTGATGGGAAGGCACTTTCTTTCGTGGGGAACCCAGGCCTCCCTTCTCCGTGGCGAGGTTTTTTCCTTTTTTCTCCGCCCCAGGTGCCTCACCTTCCCCTCATGGGCTTCTGCCCACTTTGGGGTACGGCTAGCGGCCCGAGGCGCACACTGGGTTCGAACCAGGGTCGCCAGGGTGCACGGGGCCAAGCGCAGGGGCTAATGGTAAAGCACTTTCGTCAATGGGGGACCCAGGCCCCCCTTCTCCGTGGCGCGTTTTTTTTTTCTGCCACAGGTGCCTCACCTCTCCTCCCTCAAACCTCACCTTTGCCTCATGGGCCTTCTGCCCGCCTTGGGGTACCCCTAGCGGCCCAAGGCGAACCATGAGGTCGAACCAGGGACGCCAGGGTTCCCGGGGCCCAGTGCAAGGGCTGATAGGAAGACACTTTCGTCCGTGGGGGACCCAGGCACCGCTTCTCCGCGGCGCAGTTTTTTTTTTCTTTTGGCTTCCCCAGGTACCTCACCTTCCCCTCATGAGCCATCTGCCTGCTTTGGGGTACCCCTAGTGGACCGAGGCGCACCCTCGGCTCGAATCAGGGTCGTCAGGGTCCCCGGGGCGCAGCGCAAGGGCTGATGGGAAGACACTTTCGTCCGTGCCGGACCCAAGCCCCGCTTCTCCGCGGTGCGGTTTTTTTTTTTTTTTCCTGCCACAGGTGCCTCACCTCTCCTCCCTCAAACCTCAACTTCCCCTCATGGGCTTTCTGCCCGCCTTGGGGTACCCCTAACCGCCCGAGGCGCACCCTGGGTTTGAGCCAAGGTCGCCAGGGTCCACGGGGCTCAGCGCAGGGCCTGATGGGAAGGCACTTTCGTCCGTGGGGGACCCATGCCCTGCTTCTCCGTGGCGCGTTTTTTTTTTTTCTGCCACAGGTGCCTCACCGCTCCTCCCTCAAACCTCACCTTCCCCTCATGGGCCTTCTGTCTGCCTTGGGGTACACCTAGTGGCCAGACGCACACCCTGGGTTCGAAACTGGGACACCAGGGTCCCCGGGGCCCAGCGCAAGGGCTGATGCGAAGACACTTTCTTCCTCGGGGACCCAGGCTCTGCTTCTCTGCGACGTTTTTGTTTTTGTTTTTGTTTTTTTCGCTTTTCCCCAGGTGCCTCACCTTCCCCTCATGGGCTTTCTGCCCGCCTTGAGGTACCACTAGCGGGTCCAAAGCGCACCCTGGTTTCGAGCCAGGGACGCTAGGGTCTCCGGGGCCCAGTTCAGGGCTGATGGGTAGGGACGTTCGTCTGTGGGGGACCCAGGCCCCACTTCTGGGCGGCGCAGTTTTTTTATTTTTTTCTCTGCCCCAGGTGTCTCACCTTTCCCTCATGGGCCTTCTGTCTGCCTTGGGGTACCCCTAGCAGGCCGAGGCGCACGCTGGGCTCGAGCCAGGGATACCAGGGTCCCTGGGGCGCAACGCAAGCGCTGATGTGAGGACAGTTTCTTCTGTGGGGGAGCCAGGCCCCGCTTATACGCGGCGCGGTTGTTTTTTTTTTTTCTCTGCCCCAGGTGCATCACCTTCACCTCATGGGCCTTCTGCCCGCTTTTGGGTACCCCTAGCGGCCTGAAGCGCACCCTGGTCTCGAACCAGGAATGCCAGGGTCACCTGGGCCCAGCGCAAGGGCTAATGGGAAGACACTTTTGTCCGTTGGGGACCCAGGCTCTGCTTCTCCGTGGTGCGGTTTTTTTTTTTTCTGCCACAGGTGCCTCACCTCGCCTTCCTCAAACCTCAACTGCCCCTCATGGGATTTCTGCTCGCTTGTCTTCCGAGGCTGTGGTGTGGATCTCGCACTGCGGCCGCCTCGCCTTGGCTGGGGAGAACCTCGGTGGGTAGGATTCAGAGGGGCTTTTGCTTTCCCGTTTTCCACACTGAACCCTTCTAACTGGTCTCTGACCCTGATTATTCAGGGCTGCAAACAGGAAGGATTTTATTCACCATCGATGCGGCTCTGAGTAGTCCCAAAGCGAGGCAGTGCCCCCAAGGTCTGTGCTGAGAACGCTGCTCTGCCTTCGCGGTGTCCCCCGGGTGTGTGCTGAGCAGAACGCAGCTCCGCCCTCGCGGTGCCCCTGGCCCGCCCGCCCGGGTCTGTGCTGAGGAGCACATGATCCGCTTTGCTGTATCTCCGAAGTCTGTGCAGAGGAGAACTCACCTCCGCCCTGGCAATGCTCTCCGGGTCTGTGCTGAGGAGAAGGCAGCTCCGCCCTCGCAAAGGCACGCGGCGCCTGCGCAGGCGCAGAGAGGCGCACGGGGGGTATTCCTAGCGGGCCCGAGGCCCACCCGTGGCTCGAACCAGGGTCTCCAGGGTCCACAGGGCCCAGAGCAGGAGCTGATGGGAAGGCATTTTCATCGTGGGGGACCCAGGCCCTGCTTCTCCGTGGCGCGGATTGTTTTTTTTTTCTTTTTCTGTGACAGGTGCCTCACCACTCCTCCCTCAAAACTCACCTTCCCTCATGGGCTTTGTGCTCCCAAAGCTCCCCTTGGGGTGCACTTAGCGGCTGAGGCTCACACTGAGCTCGAACCAGGGACACCAGGGTCCCCAGGTCCCAGTGCAGGGACTGATGAGAAGACACTTTCGTCCGTGGGGAATCAGGCCGCGCTTCTCTGCGGCGAAGTTTTTTTTTTCTCTGCCCCAGGTGCCTCACCTTCCCCTTATGGGCTTTCTGCCCACCTTGGGGTAACACTAGTGGCCCGAGGCGTACCCTGGGATCAAACCAGAGACGCCAGGGATGTCAGTGCCCAGCGAACGGGCTGACGAGAAGACAATTTCCTCCGTGAGGGACCCAGGCACTGCTTCTCGGCAGCGCGTTTCTTTACTTTCTCTGCCTCAGGTGCCCACCTTCCGCTCATGGACCATTTGTTCGCTTTCTGGTACCGCAAGCGGTCCCGAAGCGCACCATGGGCTTGAACTAAGGTCGTCACTGTCCACTCTGCCCAGCGTATGGCATAATGGGAAGGCACTTTCATCCATGGGGGACCCAGGCCCCGCTTGTCTGAGGCGAGGTCTCCTGTTTTTTTTTCTGCCCCTGGTGCCTCACCTCTATTCCCACAAACTTCAAATTCAACTCATGGGCCTTCTGTCCGAGTTGGGGTACCCCTAGTGGCCCGACGCGAACCCTGGGCGCCAACGACGGATGCCAGGGTCCCTGGGGACCAGCGCAAGGGCTGATGGGAAGACATTTTCGTCCGTGTATGACCCAGAAACCGCTTGGCGATGCATTTTCTTCTCTGCCCCAGGTGCCTCAACTTCCCCCCATCAGCCTCCTATCTCTCTGAACCTGCGCCGGCGCCGTGCACCTCTCTGTGCCGCCACCGTTGCTGGGGGATGGGTCCCTGAGACTTGGCGAAGTAGGAGTACTGGACTCGCGCACAGGCCCTGTCTCGCAGGTTTTCAGGTGCGCTTGGCAGTTTCCTCCGCTTTGAGGGGCAGGTCTCCAGTGGCCCCCGGGCGCAGGCCTGGACATCACTGTCCGTCTCGTCGTCGCCCACTACGGCCTCAGAGACACGGGCTCACTGCATGTGCTCTTGGGGGACGTCAGGGCCACGTGTGGTCACACTGGCTCCGGCTCGGACTACCCTCTGTCTCTCTTTGCCCGTGTCGCCGGAAGCCGCGTCGAGATGCCGGAACCCCCGGGCCTTGGAGATGAAGGCAGGCCCCTGCTCCACCCAGGAAGGAGGGAGGCAGTGGGCTCGTGGGTCAGTGCCTTTGCAGCCGACAGCACGCCTTGCGGCCCTGGGGATCTTTCTGCGCCCTGGCGAGCGCCTTTCCGCCTCACTGCATTGTAACCCCATTCCCGATCACCGGGTGGGATCCATCATCGGATCCCAAGAGGAGTCCGCGCAGCCCAGCCGGCACCCCGAAGCTCCTCCTTCACCGGGAACCCAAGCAGAAGACCGATCAAGGAGGTCCTGACGACAGGACTCCTATGGGTCCGACCCTGGGTCTCCCGCAGGCCCCTCTGGTAGTCCTCTTCCCACCCACCGCCTGGGGCTGCACCGCAGCCGCCGCCGCAAGCTCCAGCACCGCCACCCCAGTCCCCGCAGCCGCGGCGTCGCCGCCATTTTTTAAAGGGTCCGCAGCCTGACTGCCGAGTAAGGGGGGGTGGGGCGGGTGAGTCGGCCTCGCCAGCGCTCATGCGCGAGGCCCGAGCCGCCGCTTCGGTCACAGTGACCGCCACCGTTGCCAAGGGATGGGTCCCTGAGACTTGGCGAAGTGGGAGCCCTGTGTGATCGTGCGTCAGAGTCGGGGCTGAGACCAGCCCCGGCCAGGGCAGTTACCGGGACGGTCTCCGGAGGCCGGGATTCGCGGAGGGTCCACCAGCAGGAAGAAACCCCAGGAGGAAGAAACCTCAGACAGATCGCCGGGGAGGCAGCGCGGGATCCCAGCCTCAGGCGTGCGCGGACGGTGTGCGGGTGAGTCTCCCCAAAAGTGGCGGCCTTGTGATGTCGAGGACAGGTCTCGCTGTGTGCCCGTGGGCTGCTGTCTCACCGGTGGCTCGTAGTCGCGGAGAGCAGAACCCGGCAGCTTCAGGGGCTGCCTGGGGGTGGGTGTTACCTGCTGTATATCTGTGTGCGTTATGGGGGTGTGTGTGCGCGTCTGTGTGTCTGTGTGTGTGCGCGCGCGCGCAAGTGCGTGTCTGTGTGCCCACTACTGTCTCTCTCTTAAGTCTCTCTCTCTCTCTCTCTCCCTTCTCGCTCTTTCCGTCGCCCTCTCTTTCTGTCTCTGTCCGTCTGTGTGTGCGTGCGCCTTGGGACACATGTTCCCTGTGCGCCGGAGGCTGGGTTTCTTGCACGTCGGCCTTTCTTCTGGTCAGCCTCTCCCCGCGTCCCTGCCTGGGTGTTGTGGCCGGTTGGCAATCGTTTTCCCGGCGGTTCCGGTTTGGGGGTCTGTGAAGGCCTGGGCAACGTGGGCATCTGCGTGGGAGCCGCAGGGGCTTTCATTCCCTCCCCATCCGGAGCAGCCTCTTTGCTAGGCTAGATCCAGACGACCGCTCCCCAACCAAGGACAACGGCCTCCCAGGCGCTTATTGTCCACCCGCAGGAGGGTGCCCGCAGACCTTCCAGAAGATGCTTCTCACGCCTCTCGCCCTCTGCCCTCATGGAGAAATCTAGCCATAGCTCGACGCAGGGATGGAGAAGGAAGCTGTCAACGGGATGGGGCAAGCCTCTCTCTCACTCAAAGGCAGTATAGAGGTCCACCACAGAGGCATATCTAGTATGGTGCCCACCACCTCATCTTGGGGCTGGGTGAAGGGCAAGTGGCACTGCAGGAAATAGTAGCCTTGTTCTCTGTCCTCAAGTTGTTCCAAGATTGCAGCCCACACCAGTGCTTGGGCTTGTGAGAATGGAGGGCTCTCCAACAGTTCAGAAACAAGCAGTCTGCCACAGGGGTGAGAGGAGCAAAAGACACCCCCACCTATGCTTTTCCATGGAACATCAAGTCCCTCAGAGTATAATCTCTGCTGGATTTTTGCTTCCTTATTTTTCTGTGTTCAAGTTTCTTCTTGTGGTGCTCTAGCACTCCCGTCAATATAGATATTGGAATTAATGATTATTTATCCATAACTTTGCTTTCTCTTTCTGAGAATAACTAGATTCGAATATCTATAGTCAGTCATATTGAAGAAAAACCTCAGAAATATACTTCTTAGTAACTCAACACCCAAGAGCAAATCATAATGGAAATTATAAAATATTTTTAATTAAAAAATGTATACTACATTATAAAATGTGTCATTTTAGAGGAAAATGTAGAACCTTAAATTCTTATTTTATGAGGACAACAAATTAATATTTAAAATGTTCTGAATTTATTGGAAGAAGTTAGAAATATCAACAGAAATAAAAGGAAATAAAAAATACATGCATAGTGATTAAGAATACAGGGAAAGAAAAGTCAAGAAATATGGCCAAAAGTTTGTTAGTTGTTGTAGGAGCCATACAATAACAAAACTCTGGAGAAATGGCTTGATAAAATTAAGAGAAGAAACAAGTATGCAATCTCAGGAATCAAAATAGGAAATAATTATACATCAGATGTCAAGAATTTTTTTTGTTTTTTGGAAAGGATCAGGTGGTAAATATTTTAGGTTTTTGGGCTATATGGTTTGTTGCAACTAATCAATTCTATTGTTGTGGCATAAATTGACAGTATGTCAATGAATGAGCATGACAGTGTTCCAGTAATACTTTATTTATAAATACTGTCTGGCTTATTTGCCACAGTTTATTGAGTTTTGTTATAAATAATACAAATATCAAGAAGGTAAATTAGTGTAGTATGAAAACCTTCAATAAATTTGGAAATATATGTAAAATGTGTGCAATTACTTGAAACAAGCATTTTTCCAAAAGTAACCTAAAGTGAAAAGAAAAATCTGAATTGTGCTACAACAAATGCATGTAATCAGTAGTCAGAAATCATATCATAAAGATAATTTCAAGCCATGATGACTTTACTGGCAAGTTGTTTCAAAGATGAAACAAAACAATAATTCCAGTCTTACATACAATTCTTTCTGAGCATGAAACAGGAAAGAACATACTCTATTTCATTTTATTATGCTATTATGACTCTGATATTATAACCTGACAAGGATAGTAAAGGGAAAGTAAATTAAACACCAATGTAATTTATGAAAATAATGAAGGAAAACTTAAAAAAGTTCCACGCAGAAATAAGCAATGCATTAAAATGTAAGACATCACAGCCAATGTTTATTCTAAGAAACCCTGGGAAGCAATAATGGCCTCATGTAAAGGTATCAATTAATATGATACACCACAACAAATAACTTAACAATATTATAAGCATATTTAATTTTATTTTCTTAAAAAGTCATACATTTTAACAACCCAAAATTAAAAGAGAATCTAGTTTAACTAATAACATTTGTTTTCAAAAGTTCTATTGAAATTATAACACTTAACAATGGAATGTTAAAATATTTCCTTTGTGATTGGGAACAAAATAAACATAGATGGTACAAGCAATTTTATTTATCCTTTTGCAGGTCTTAGACACTGGGATAGGATTGTAAATATTAAAAAAATAAGAATTATGAAAGAGAAAACAGATTACTATGTTACCGATGACACTAAGTACACAGACAATTCAAAATGATTGTAAGATACATTATACTAATGAATATGAGCTTTTAGCAAGATGCTTTGACACAAACGTATTATGCAATATTGAAATGCATTTCATATAAGTAGAGAACTTTATTTAGATGTGTCAATGTGGCTTACTCTCACAAACATAATATTTAGTGGTATGATTAAGTCACAAAAGAATATGTACAGTATAACTCAGTTTAAATAAAGTTCAAATAAACATAGACATAACATTGACATAAATATATTCTTGAATTGAAAGACTTTAATGAAATCACTTCTCCCCAAAATTAATCTTTGTAACTAGTGCATCCAAAGTAAAACCCAGTAAGGTTTGATTTAGATATTGACAAGCTAATTCTAGAATTTATGTAAACTCTAAAAATATTAAAATTCAGTTAATAATTTATTGAGGAAGGAAGAATATATTACAGGAAATATTATAAGACTTAATTAATGCAATGTGGTATTAACAAAGTAATAAATAATCAATGAAATGGAATAGGTAGACTACAGTAAGGAAAATATAAGAACCCATGATATGTAAGAAAGCTAGTATTATAGATCAGTGGTGAAAAATAAATTTGCCAATAAATGAGAGTGAGAAAACTGGCTATACATATGGAAAATAATTAAAGAGATTCTTTACCTTATATAATATGTAACAATCAATTCCTTGGTGATCAATATTTAAATGTAAACCCAGGTAAAAATTACAGAAAACCCGACAGTAAAACAAAGAAAATGGCTTGCACATGTGCTTTATAAAATGTAAAATATAAGTGTCCACCATACATATTTAGAATCACTTTAACTTATTTTTAACACAAAAATGCAAATGAAAATGTTTTATATGTACATTATTACTTATACAACAGATTGACCAAAAACAGTCTGACAAGAAAGACTTCTGGCAAACATATAGAGCAATAATAATTTCATATGCTTTCCTGGAAATGGAAATTATATCCGTTTTAAAAAGAGGCTTGTATTACCCAGTAATATTGAAGATGACCATATATTCTAATCAGCAATTGGCTTTCACTCCTTATTTTGTATGTACGTGGTTGGCCATTAAGAAATGTGATCCAAAATATTTACAGGCTCAGTTAAGTACTATAAGCAATGTAAAAGTTAAACAACAGTAGAATGTGGTAGATTCATACAGTGGAATACTACACTTTAGAAAAACATAGATAACTTTATTTAGATATGTTAATGTGGCTTACTCTCACAAACGTAATATGCAGTGGTATGATTAAGTCACAAAAGGATATGTACAATATAATTCAGTTTAAATAAAGTTCAAGAACACAAAACAGCAAGTTGGATTGTTTATAAAATGTTTACTGGACACTAAATCTATAAAGATAATAATAGAAATTATTTTAACACATCCTTCAATTACCTTTCATTCCTCCAGAAATTTGTTGAAACCTCTTGAATGCCTATGACCTTTCTCATTTCCTCCACTGTTTAATTTCCTTTTATACTTTGTTTAAAACTTTGAATGGACATATGAGAGATGAAGTCATATTTTTCTAAATAAGTTCAAAAATATTTTGCTTTAAAATATAAGTAGTGATTAAATTTCTAAGAATTGAGCAATAGTTTAATGTTATAAATTTAGTTTTCATGAATATTTCTCTCTCCACATTTCTTCTTCTCAACTTGCTCATATCCCTTCAAATGACAAAATACTTAGAAGTATTTGAGTCAAGTTAGATATATTTTTGAAGATATTATTTGCTTATTTATCTATGAGAGGTCAACAACAACTTCCATGAATATTAGGAAAGCAAATATCGGTAGCTCTATTCACTTCAATATTGAATTCACCTATATCTGAAATTTAAATGTCAGTGATAAGACTGACAGAAAGTGACAATTTCTTTAGGTAACACAGCACTAAGTGGCAATACTTTAATATTGTCACTGTTACATTTTTCAGATATACAATATATACTTTACCAAGAATCCTAGTCTATTAAGTTCTAAGGATGAGCTGTCTTTATACAAATTCACAATAAATAGCTGTGTAAATAAGAGTTACCATTTTTATTTTATAGCATAAAATGTATTTCAAATAGTTGTACAAATCAGATATGTTATAAAAGAAACATCTTTCCTATTATTGAATTACCCAAAGTTGCTTACCTAACATAGAATCTTGTGGAGGAAAATAGGCCAGTGAAATTCAGTGATTATTCATTATGATCAAGGTGATTAGTACAGAAATCTCCATGACTATTCTGTGCAGTGTCTTTTCTTTAACAATATTTTATAATCATTCTTATTTTTACTTTCTGTAGACAAATCCTTTCTTGTTTTGCCTCCTTTTAGGTACTTTTGAGATTATAAAAGTATATAGTAAAAACAAATGCACACACAAAACTATTCGGTTGGTATACTTAATTTTGTCAGAATAGATTTAGTCCAGGTATATTCCAGTGGTATCTTACTGAAAGTCCATCCTAGTCCCCTGATTATTACTTGAGTGTTCAATGATGGTTTTTCCTTCATGTTAACAGGAAATAGTTTTGGTTTCTGCTAAAAATGGCAGTTGCCACCAGAATGTGTGAGTTTTATTTCTTAGAAAATAACTATATTTTATATTTGGTGAATATCTTAGTTTTGCATTTAATTTGCTAAGTAGAATCAATGCAATCACTATCATATTCTATAGTTTTTCCTAACAGATCGATAGAGTAAAATGTATGGTTTTTCTAATTTTTAGCATGTGTGTCCAATAAAATGACTTTATATAATTTTTTTCTTTTTGGTTCATTTTTTTTCCAGTCAAAGCTTCTTCTTTAGTTTCTCATATAATTGATTCAAAACTCCTAAGTGATGATCACAGTAACCTTAGGTATTTCTTAATTCTCCATAATAAATATAGCATCTGAGTCTAATTTCTTCTGGGAGATTTATTAACTTTTAAGATAGTATGTGTCACTTACATAATCTAACAATGCATTTTGCATACTAAAATGATGAAACATTCTTAATGAATTTAAATAGCTACTTTATCAGAAACAGGAGTCATAGGTTGAATTTTTATGTGAGTAGTAGAGCTAAGAATATTTGTAAAACAGCTCTCCATGATGGGCTCCAACAGGATGAAGTAAGACCACCTATCAAGGAAGTAAGATCAATCCCAAAATGAACTGTACATGAAATTCTGCTCTAAGATCTTTTTGCTTTTTAACATGATTTCAGAAAAGGCTAATTTTTGTAATGGACTACAATACTTGTTTTGCTACATAAGCTTTCAGGATTTTTTTTCTTTTATTTTTATTTTAAAATTAATTTTTGAGCAGCATTCTTGACTGCAAGAAAGCTTCTGTCAGTTTCCCAAATTACTCAAATAACATGTATTTTACACTGAAAATCATGAGCTCCTTAACTCAAAGCTTTTCCTTGTTGTTTTTGTAACTATTTACCATACAATTACTTGTAAATGAAATGTATAACATAAATATGCGCTAACATAAAGGGAAATGTTTAAATATTTTTTAAACTTCTGAAAAAAGATAAAACTCTCCGTTTTTAAGAACATTGTATCTTTCATTTTATCCTTCTTTCTCCTCCAAATATATTAATAACTATCCTTCTATTTGTTACATTCTTTTACTTAAAGGGACTAAAGTATAAATCAGGTAATTAATACACAAAACTTTATTCTGTCCCTTGCTTGTAGCACTACTTCATTCCAGTTTCCTCAGAGTTTATTATATAAATCAGACAGATTTGTAAATAAGTATTTTACAGTCTACATTTATTTGATTATGAAAATGGAAACATAGAATAAAATGTGAACAGATAATAAGCTTTACTTGTGTGTTTCTCCATCTTTTCAAGTTGATCAGGTATATGGATGGCATTTTAAATAATGTGTTAAATTTAGAGAATACATTAAATAGAAAAGAAAATTGTGGGAAATAGGAAAGCCTTTCCATTAAGGGTTTAGATATAAAATGTTCTATTCAGTTACAAACTGAACCTAAAATGAGAGGTTTTTTTTTGTTTAACTGAAAGAGCTAGAGAGTAATTAAAGGTAATTTGCATGTTATTATTCTTAAAAGGTTCGCTTTTCTGTTCTAAGAATACCAGGGAACAATTGAATAGATAAAAAGCAAACTATAAATTGCCAAATAGATCTTTTGTATAATAATACATCTCCCAAGACAAAAGATATTTCAGACCCATAAAAAATAAGGGAAGTGTATTTGCCCGACTGGTCTTGCATCTTGCCTGACCACAATGAATTTGCATCAGATTTTAAACTCACAGAGTTATAAAATATCTTAATGTGTTAAGAGGGAACCAAAAGTGAATGTGATTAACTTGAAGGAACTAGTTGGCAGACTTTAACATTAGGCTAGCAGAAACTATTTAATAAATAAAACTGAAAGCAGAAAAATACTTTTCTTAAATAATTATTAGTGGCAGATTGATACTGTTAATATTATTGATTCAGTCTGGGAAGTCCTCCCTCTTGCCCTTTCTCTACCCAGATCTTGCATTCTTTTGCAAAATAAGAACAATACAAACTCATTATTATTATTATTATTTTATTATTTTATTTTATTTTATTTTTTTTGGAGACAGAGTCTCGCTCTATCCCCCAGGCTGGAGTGCAGTGCCGTGATCTTGGCTCACTGCAACCTCCGCCTCCCGGGTTCACGCCATTCTCCTGCCTCAGCCTCCCGAGTAGCTGGGACTGCAGGCTCCCGCCACCATGCCCGGCTAATTTCTTGTATTTTGTTTAGTAGAGACGGGGTTTCACCGTGTTAGCCAGGATGGTCTTGATCCCCTGACCTCGTGATCCGCCCGCCTCGGCCTTCCAAAGTGCTGGGATTACACGTTTGAGCCACTGCGCCCAGCCACAAACTCATTAAGTCACTTATTTACTACTCTATTCCTCAATGAACTCTTTTGTAGACTTCTACCCCATCTATAACCAATGCAGTGGTACTCCTCCCTCTCATATTTAGTTTCTCAGCTCAAGTAAGACTTCCTCAGAGGTTTAATCTAATTAATCTTAATCTAATTAAAATAGAAACCCTTACCCATTTATTCTGTCCAAAGCAACGTTTCCCCTCCCCTCCCCTTCCCCTCCCCTTCTCTTCCCCTTCTCTTCCCCTTCCCTTCCACTTCCTTTCCTTCCCCTTGCCTTCCTTCCTGCCTTCTTTCTTTTCCTTCTTTCTGTCTTTTCTAATACAAGGCTTGACCACTGGGATAAAATTGTCAAAATGTAAAAAGGAGATAATTAAAAAATAAATAGTACCTAAGTAGTATGCTAAAACATACATGGGGCAAGATCATCTTTGCATTTTATCCTTGGGTGCATTCTGGACCACCTTAATTTTTTTTTTTTCCTAAGACAGAGTCTCTCTCTGTCATGCAGGCTGGAATGCAGTGGCACCATGATGACTCACTACAGCCTCCACCTCCCAGGCTCAAGTGATTAATCTTAAATAGTGCAATTATTCTATTTAATCACAAATGTCAGCATCTCTTTTCTTTAGTTTTGGCACATGATTTTCACCTTTTATCCTCTCTCTCTCTCTCTCTCTCTCTCCATGCTTCATTATATTAGTTCCCTAGGCTATCACAACAAATTGACACAAACTAAATGACTTCAACAACAGCAATGTATTCTAAAACAGTTCTAGAGGCTAGAAGTCCTAAATACAGTGGGGCCACACTCGCTCTGAGGTCCCTAGAGAGAATCCATTCTGTGGATCTTCCAGCTTCTGGGGGCTGCCAGCATTCCTTTACTCATGCCAGCATTCCTTTTCCCCAGCTTCTGGGGGCTGCGCCACTCCAATCTCTGCTCCCTGGTCACATTGCCTCCTCTTCTGTGTGTCAAGTCTCCCTCTGACTCACTCTTAAAAAAACATTTGTCAGGCCAGGCACAGTGGCTCATGCCTGTAATCCCAGCAATTTGGGAGGCCGAGGAGGGCGAATAACTTGAGGTCAGGAGTTTGAGACCAGCCTGGCTAACATGGTGAAACCCTTCCTTGAATAAAAGTACAAAAATTATCTGGGCATGATGGCAGGCGCTTGTAATCCCACTCCTCAGGAGGCTGAGGCAGGAGAATTGCTTGAACCCGGGAGGCAGAGGTGGCAGTGAGCAGAGATCGCACCACTGCACCCCTCCAGCCTGGGCGAAAGTACAAGACTCCATCTCAAAAAAAAAAAGAACATTTGTCATTGAATTAGAGACCCGTGAGTATATTTCAGAATAAGCCCCTTCCCTTAAAGTCCTTAACTTAATCACAAGCATTGCCGTATAAGGTAATATTCACTGTTTAACGTGTCATTATATTCAAAGATTCCAAGGATTAACGCGTCACATATCTTTTAGAAAAAACTATTCGGCCTACTAAACTCGATGAATCTTCATCTATTGAGACTCAGGCCGAATCAGATAAAAAGCTTTACAATATTCCACACCTCTCTCTACACGTGTTAAAAACAAGGAGAAAGAGTTTCTCTTAAAATTTTAAGTTCACTAAAAATAGAACAAAAGCAGAAACAATTGAGGTTTTTGTGGTTGTTGCTGTTTGTGTCTTTATTTTTAAAGATTCTACTTTGTACCATATACGCATGGTAAATTATTCATTATCATATCTGCTCCTTTTTTTTCATTTGAAGTAAACAGATTCCATGGAAAATATTTAAATTCCCAGGCATTGTTAGTTGTAGAGCTCATAAAATGTTCAATGCTTCAGTGAGTTGCAAATTGAAAACAGAAATAAATTCTTGGAGAAAAACTTGACAGTATTCTACACACTTTGCTCTTGATTGATGTCATGTGGTGATTCCAATAAATGACTTTTTTCAAACAACTTAAACTATAACTGATTTAAGTAAATGGGGGTGCAATGGTTCTTTCTTATATATCTCATCTGCTGAGATGCTATACACAGAATTTCAATCATCTTACCCTATGATTTTTCAAAGGTATATAAGAATGAATAATAATATTATTATAATAATATTATTCATTATTATTTATTCTAAAAATAAAAATAATTATAATATTCATTATTCTAAAAATAAATTTTTGTTTATTATTAATAAAATAACATTATAAGGATACATTTATTTATTACAATCATGAAAATATTTAAAATGTACCATTTTCTAGGTAGTAAACTAGTGCTTCACATATTTTTGTTTATTTAATCTTTATTTTTATAAGTCAACAACTATAGACATTATTTTATATTATTTATACTTTATAAAATATAATAAAGACATTTTAAAATATATATCAAATATATATTATAAAGTATTACATTATAAAATACTATATTTTATAAAGTAGATGACTATCGATATAGTCATTATATAGATGAGTAAACTGAGGCATATTGTTTCTGTAAAAACCTCAAGAGCGCACATAAAATAAATGCTGCAGACAATGAGCCAAAATCATACTAAGGATTTTGCTTCCAGAAGCTGCACTCTTAACTACTAGGCTCTAATGCCTCTTTTTATATAAATGATATCATACTGTTCTCTTTTGATCTGGCTTCTATTAATTAGCATATTTATTGAGATTAATCTATTTTATAGTATGGATGAAAGTTTCATTTCTTTTATTGCTTGTAGTATTTCAAAATATGGATATATCAAAGCTTGCTTATTCATTTATCTGTTAATGAATATTTGATTGTTACATGCTCTTCACTATTAGCCCCTCTCTCCCATAAAAAAGTGCTGTGAATGTTTTGGTACAAGTTTTTTATGTACATATACTTTCATTTCCCTACAAATTGATTGGCAGTCATATGATAGGTGCATACGTCAAAATATTTTAAAAACTGACAAGGCTTTTTCCAGAGTCATTGTACTAATTTCCTTTACCATTAGCAGTGCATGTATGTTGGTTGTCCTCTATAGTTTTGCCAACACTTGGCATGGCCAGCCTTTTTAACTTTAGCCATTCTTTTTTCTTTCTTTCTTTCTTTTTTTTTTTTTTTTTTTGAGATGAAGTTTCACTCTTGTTGCCCAGGCTGGAGTGCAATGTGCAATGGCACAATCTCGGCTCACTGCAATCTACACCTCCTGGGTTCAAACAGTTCTCCTGCCTCAGCCTCCCAAGTAGCTGGGATATAGGCGCACATCACCATGCCCAGCTAATTTTTGTATTTTTAGTAGAGATGGGGTTTCCCCATGTTGGTCAGGCTGGTCTCGATCTCTTGACCTCAGGTGATCCACCCACCTTGACCTCCCAGAGTGCTGTGATTACAGGTGTGAGCCACTGTGCCTGGCCTCTTTTTTTCTTTTTTGAGATGGGTTCTTGCTCTGTCACGCAGGCTGGAGTGCATTGGCACAACCATAGTTCACTGCAGGCTCCACCTCCTGGGCTCAAGTGATTCTCCCACCTCAGCTTCCGAGTAGCCGGTACTACAGGCATGTGTCACCATGCCTAGCTAAATAGAGACACCATGCCATGTCTTTTTCTTTTTTGTAGAGACAGGATCTCACTACGTTGCCCAGGCTGCTCTCTAACTCCTGGGGTCAAGAAACCCTGCTGCCTTGACCTTCCAAAGTGCTGGGATTACATGCTTGAGCAACTGTACCCAACCCATTTTTGACAGACACAGATCAATTCCCTAATGACTAATGATATTGAGGATCTTTCCATGTGTTTACTTTCTATCTACATATGTTCTTTAGGGAAGAAGTATTCATTTAAGCCATTTGCCTACTTTTATTAGAGTTACTACATTTATTATCAAGTTTTGAGAGTTCTTATATTTTCTGGACACAACTTTTTTGCCAGACATATATTTTGCAAATATTGTTCTCAGTAGTGTCTTATATTTCTATTTGTTTTACAGTGTTTCCTGAGGAACATATGTTTTACATTTTGATGAACTCGAGTTGTCAATTTCTACTTTGATGAAACCTGGTGTTTGTGTCATGTCTAAGTAGTATTGAGGTCAAAGACTTTTCTATATTTTCTCCTATACGTAATTTTTCTTCCTTTTTTTCACTTTGTTTTTACATTTTACATTTAGGCATATGATCTGTACTAAATTAATTTTTGTATCATGAGTTACGTGTTAAAGTTCTACTTTTTGCATATGAGCATCTAATTGTTCCAGCAGAATTTGTTGAAGGGCTATCTTTTATTTACTGAATTACCTTTGTATCTTTGGAGAACACCAATTTACCAAAATTCTGTACATATATTTCTGAATTTTCTATTATCTTCCAATGACATTTCTGTCTATCTTTATGCCAATATCACACTATTTTCATTACTGTAGCCTTATAAGCTTTGGCATTAGATTGTGCTAATCCTTCAAAAATATTCTTATTTTTAAGAATTATTTTGGCTATTTTAGACTCTTTGCATTTCTACTGAAGTTTTAAAATTAGTGTGTAAATTCCTATAAACAATGCCTAATAATATTTTAATTGGGATTGTATTGAATCTATATTTAGGGATAATCACATTTTACCATGTGAATTTTCTAACCCATATTCATATTACATCTTTCCATTTATTTAAGTCTTCTTTAACTTTCTGCAGTGTTTTGAGTTTTAGTGTACCAGACTCACATCATTTGATAGATTAATTCCTAATTCTTCTACATTTTTCATGATATTATTAATAGTACTTTTATTTTAATTTTTTATTGTTCATTGCTGGTATATGGAAATATTAGTTTAATATGTTGCTTTTTTTCTTTTTTATGTTGCTAACTCACTTATTATAGCCAGCAGTGTTTTTGTAGATTTCAGTGGACTTTCTACATAGACATGCCGTCTATAAATAAAACCAATCTACATTTTCCTTTCCCATCTGTAATTCTTTTGTTTATGTTTTTTGTCTATTTTACTTGGTAGAACGTCTAGTGGAATGTTAAAACAAAGTGCTAAGAGTTAATGGACTCATCTTGTTCCTGAAATAGGGGGAAATAAACTGATTTTTCTTCATTAAGTATGATGCCAGCTATTGTTTTTACATAGATATCTTTTATTAGGATATTCTTGAATTTCTTCTAGACAGTAATAACTTAGATCTTGTTTTATTGATCCAATCTGCTTTTAAATTGGTATATTTAGACCATTTATATGTAATGTGGTTATGTGTGCATATATATATTTTTTTCTTTTTTTTTTTTTTTTTTTTTGAGACAGAGTCTGGCTCTGTTGCCCAGGCTGGAGTGCAATGCGATGATCTTGGCTCACTGCAACCTCTGCCTCCTGGGTTCAAGCCATTCTCCTGCCTCAGCCTTCTGAGTAGCTGGCATTACAGGTGCCCACCACCATGCCTGGCTAATTTTTTGTATTTTTAGTAGAGACAGGGTTTCACTATGTTGGCCAGGCTGGTCTCGAACTCCTGACTTCATGATCTGCCCACCTCAGTCTCCCAAAGTGCTGGGATTATAGGCGTGAGCCACCGCACCTGGATATTTTTAGTTTTAAACCTATTATTTTGCTTTTGCTTTCTATCTTTCCTGAAGGAATTCAGAACCAGATACCCCGAAACGTGCCACTTTGGCATATTGATTTTTTTGAGTTAAAGACACTTGAAAAATAGCAGATGCAAGAAAAGCACTCTGATTTTCCTTTAAAGCACTCTGACTTTCCTTTAAAGCACTCTGATTTTCCTTTAAGGCACTCTGATTTTCCTTTAAAGCACTCTGATTTTCCTTTTTCTTAAAAGTAGGAGGTAAAATTTCTACATGAAAGTTGCCCTCTTTATACAAGAAGGAAAGTAACAGTCTCATCACCCAGGATGAGAAGTTGAGGCAAGGGAAACCTGTACAAACATACCTTGTTAAACCAACCCTTATCCTGTTAATCACCTCTTCACCCAATTAACTACACTAGTTCCAGCTCCTTTGTCTTGTCATATTTCACAATTTACTACTCTGTGTCTACTTCAGAACATAAGTGATTATGTCATGGAGTCTTCCTTCCTTAAAGAATCTCTCATGCCACATAATGCATGTATTAAATAAATTTGTATGCATTTTCCTGTTGATCTGTCTTATATCAATTTAATTCTCAGGCTTAGCAGAGGAAAAAAAAAAAACTAAGAAGATGGTAATAAAATTTTGCTTCCCCTACCATCCCATCTGTTTTTTGCTTATTTTCCCTCTTGTTTGCCTTCTTTTCTATGAATTAAATATATTTTACGGTTTCATCTTATCTCCTTTTTTACTTGAGAATTAAAACTCTCTATATTGTTAATTTTAATGGTTGCTTTTGAGTTTGTAGTATACATGTTTAACTCATCACATTCTACCTTCAAATTATAATATACTACTTTACATACAGTATCATGAATAACAACATTTTCATTATTTTATCCTAACTGTTGTTCTGTTATTGTCATGTGATTTATTTTTATATATGTTTTAAACTCATTATAAATTGTTATTATTCTTGTTTAAATTAGAGGTTAATAATGTTGTTTTCTTCTCTCTCTCTCTTTTTTTTTTTTTTTTTTTTTTTTGAGACAGAGTCTAGCTTTGTACCAGGCTGCAGTGCAGTAGTGCCATCTCAGCTCACTGCAACCTCTGCCTCCCGGGTTCAAGAGATTGTCCTGCCTCAGCCTCCCGAGTAGCTGGGATTACAGGCACATGCCACCACACCCAGCTAATGTTTGTATTTTTAGTAGACACAGGGTTTCATCATGTTGCCCAGGATGGTCTCAATTTCCTGACCTCGTGATCCGCACATCTCGGCCTCCCAAAATGCTGGGATTACAGGCATGAGCCACCAGAACCGGACATGCTTTCCTTAAAAGCTAAATATTTTAGGCTTGTGTGCCATTAGGCTCTGTTACAACTACTTAATTCTGCTTTTGTAATTCTATAGCACCCATTGATAATACATAAACAAATGAGCATGAATGTATCTCAGTAAAAATTTGTTCACATAAACAGGCAGTCCACCCATGAAGCTATAGCTTGCTGACCCCTTGTTTAAACAATCAATTGAATTCAAACAGAAATAAAAGGATCTTATATATTTAACCATGTTGATACCATTTCCAGTGCTTTTCATTCTTCTATGTAGATCCAAATTTCCTTTTGATATTATTTTACGTCTGCCTGAAACATTTTCTTTAACATTTTTTATAGTGCTGTTTTACTGGTGATGATTTATTTCAGGTTCTAAGTGCCAGAACAAAATCTTTATTTCACCTACATCTTGAAAGATAGTTTCTCTGAGTCTACAATTTCCAGCTGACAATGTTTATCTTCCAGTACTTTAAAGATGTTGCTTCATTATCTTCTAATTTTCTTTGTTTCCAATAAAATGTTTGCTGGCATTTTTTGTTCCTCTGTGCAAACCGTGTTTTTGTCATTGGCTGCTTTGAGAATTTTTCTTTATCACTAGTTTTAAGCAATTTTATTTTAGTGTATTTTGTGCACAAGACAAGGATGCCCTCTCTCACCACTCCTGTTCAACATAGTATTGGAAGTCCTTGCCAAAACAGTTAGGCAAGAGAAAGAAATAAAGGTACCCAAATAGGAAGAAAGGACGTCAAACTATCCTTGTCTGTAGATTACATGATCCTATATGTAGAAAACTTTATAGGCCCAAAAGCTTAAGGCCCGAAAGCTCCTTAAGATGAAAAACACCTTTGGCAGAGTCTCAGGATACAAAAAGAACATACAAAAATTACTCGCATTCCCATACACCAACAAGAGTCAAGCGGAGAGCCAAATCAGGAATGCAATCTGATTCACAATTGCTGCAAAAAGAATCAAATACCTAGGAATACAGCTAACTAGTGAGGTGAAAGATCTCTGTAAGAACTAAAAACACCAAAGATATCAGAGAGGATGAAACAAATGAAAAAACATTCTATGCTCATGGATAGGAAGAATCAATATCATTAAAATGGCCATATTTTCCTTATTTTCAAGTATGCTATTGTGCTCTATGACTGCCAGATGTAATTCTAAAAATCTGTTTGTTAATTTTATTATTTTATTTTTGGAATTTCTTCAGACATTGATGGTCTTGTCCCAGTTATTAACAACATCTACATGTTTAAGAATAAATTTTCTTTTCTATCTACTTCTTATTCCATTGAAAATTACCTTTCTATCCTCCTACTCTGGAAGTCTTTATGATTCTGTCCTAATCGTTAGTATCCCATTGCTTCTTCAAGAGATGTCTATCAGTAGAATTTCTCCATTAATATAAGTTCATACTTCTATGAAAACTTTAAATCTCAAGTCTACAGTATTTCTAGTTCTAAAAAATATTTAAATTAGTTCTTTAATTATTTCCATCTTTATGTTTACTTTCCTTTTTTTTCTAGCATTTTAAACAACTTTACGTCAACAATTCTTTATCTTCACTTTACCTCCCTTTACCTTTCTTCATTTTATCCTAGCCATTGGATTCAGAGAAAATTATTCAACTTTTAAACTTCAAACTTGCTAGATCTATATTTAACTATGTCTATTGTTCTCTTCAGAACATCTGTTGAGTTTTTAATCCAAGAGCTATTATCAGTATTTTCTAAAATGCAACCTCTTCTTGCATGTTTCTGAAGATATGAATTACACTTACTGTAATTACATTTGTTTCTTGTCTTAATTCTGATTCTCTGAAATTACTTATTCTGTTTGCTAAGTTTTGTATCTTCTTTCTTGTTTTTCTTAAAAGTTGGGTGACAATATTTTACATGGGTAGTTTTTCTGTTAATCATAGCTTATCTCCAATGATTAGGAAAATAACAACTATGAAGTAGGACAAAGTAACCTGGTTTCTTGTGTTTTAGCATTGCTGCTCCCTGTTCCTTCCTGGTTTTGTTAATTACCTGAGACTCTGCCCTGTTGATGTTAGTCAGATTCTAAGACTCACCTTGCCAAGCAAGCACTGCTTTGTTATTCCAAAGTGAAGTTCATTCTTACTTTGTCTGGAAAGCAGTCTCTGCATCTTTTACCTCATTATTTCCCTCCTTTCATATTATGTTTCTTCCTTTACCAATTTTAATGGAGCTTCCCCTTTTTCGTCTCTAAGATCTCCTCAAAAACAAAACAAAAAAACATTATCAGCATTAACATATACAACAGAGAGCTTCATTGATGTGGTTTGGCTGTGTCCCCACCCAAATCTCATCTTGAATTCCCATACCTTTTGGGAGGAACCTGGTGGGAGGTAATTGAATCATGGAGGTAGGCTTTTCCTGTGCTGTTTTCCTGATAGTGAGTAAGTCTCATGAGGTCTGATGGTTATTATAAGGGGGAGTTTTCCTGCACAAGCTCTCTTTGCCTGCTGCCATCCATGTAAGTTATGACTTGCTCCTCTTTGCTTTCCACCATGATTGTGAGGCTTCCCCAGCTACATGAAACTGTAAGTCCAATTAAACCTTTTTTCTTTTGTCAATTGCCCAGTCTTGGGTATGTCTTTATCAGCAGCATTAAAACAGACTAATACAGTAAACTGGTATCAGTAGAGTGGGATGCTGCTGAAAAGATACCTGAAAATGCAGAAGCAATTTTGGAACTGCGTAACAGGCGGGGGTTGGAACAGTTTGAAGGGCTCAGCAGAAGACAGGAAAATGCAGGAAAGTTTGGAACTTCCTAGAGACGTTTTGAATGGCTTTGACCAAAACGCTGATAATGATGTGAACAATGAGATCCAGGCTGATGTGGTCTCAGATGGAGTTGAGGAACTTGTTAGAAACTAGAGCAAAGTTGACTCTTGTTATGTTTTAGCAAAGAGACTGACAGCATTTTGCCCATGCCCTAAAGATTAGTGAAACTTAGAACTTGACAGATGAATTAGGGTATCTGACAGAAGAAATTTCTAAACAGCAAAGCATTGAAGAAGTGACTTGGGTGCTTTTAAAGGCATTCAGTTTATAAGGCAAGCAGAGCATAAAAGTTCAGAAAATTTGCAGCCTGACAATGTGATAGAAGAGAAAAACCCATTTTCTGAGGAGAAATTTAAGCTGGCTGCAGAAATTTGCATAAGTAACAAGGAACTGAATGTCAATCCCCAAGACAATGGTGAAAATGTCTCCTGGCATGTTAGAAGTCTTCACAGCAGCCCTTCCCATCACAGTCTCAGAGGCCTAGAGGAAAATGGTTTTGCTGGGCCCAGGGTCCCCATGCTGTGTGCAGTGTAGGGTGTTGGTGCCCTGCATCCCAGCCACTCCAGCTGTGACTAAAAGGGACCAAAGTACAGCTTGAGCTGTTGCTTCATAGGGTGGAAGCCCCAAGCCTTGGCAGCTTCCATGTGGTGTTGAGCCTGTGGATGCACAGAAATCAAGAATTGAGGTTTGGGAACATCTGCTTAGATTTCAGAAGATATATGGAAACACCTGGATGCCCATGCAAAAGTTTGCTGCAGGGATGGGGCCCTCATTGACAACCTCTGCTAGGGCAGTGAGGAAGGGAAATGTTGGGTGGGAGCCCCCACACAGAGTCCCTACTGGGGCACCGCCTGGTGGACCTGTGGGAAGAGGGCCACCATCCTCCAGACCTCAGAATGTTAGATCCACCAACAACACCATGTGCCTGGGAAAGCCACAGACACTCAACACCAGCCCACAAAAGCAGCCAGAAGGCAGGCTATATCCCGCAAAGCCACAGGGGCAGAGCTGCCCAATACCATGGGAACCCACCTCTTGCATCTGCATGATCAGGATGTGAGACATGGAGTCAAAGGAGATCATTTTGGAGCTTTAAGATTTGGCTGCCCCTCTGGATTTCAGATTTGCATGGGGTCAAGAAATGAAAAGCATAAAAATTGAAAAGTGAAAAGAAAAAATATTTTTATTCACAGAACTTATGTATGTATATTGTGTATGAAGAAAATCCTAATACATTTATTTAAAAAGCTGTGAATAATAAGAATCAAATTCAATAATGGTGCAGAATGTGTAGAATGCAAGGTCAATACATAAAATACAATATGTAAAATTAATGGAATTTCTAAATACTAGAAATAAACAATTGAGAATACATTTAAAAGTAAAATTTTAATGGTATAAAAATAGTTAAGAATAATTTAAGTGAAACCTTTAAAAATCTTTCACACTAAAACTTTTTAAAATTTCTTGTAGAGAAACATTACAGAAGACCTAAATAAATGTAAAGAACTACCATATTCATAGATTTGAAGATGCAACATTGTTTGATGTGAATTCTCTGGAAGTTAATCTTTAGAATCAATGCAGTAGGGGCTGGGCGCGGTTGCTCATGCCTGTAATCCCAGCACTTTGGGAGGCCAAGGTGGGTGGATCACAAGGTCAGGACATCAAGACTATACTGGCTAACATGATAAAACCCTGTCTCTACTAAAAAAAAATACAAAAAAATTAGCCAGGCATGGTGGCACGGGCCTGTAGTCCCAGCTACTCAGGAGGCTGAGGCAGGATAATTGCTTGAATCTGGGAGGCTGAGGTTGCAGTGAGCCGAGATTGTGCCACTGCACTCCAACCTGGGTGACAAGGTGAGATTCTGTCTCAAAAAAAAAAAAAAAGCATCAATGCAATCTATAGTTTGTAATTTATTGACTACAATGAATTCTATATCTATTTACTACAACTCTGTAGTAAATTGTGGCAAACATTTTGAGAGAAATTCACAAGCTGTTTCCAAAATTTGTTTGGAAAATTCATAGGACCTAGAATTTTGAGAAAAAAATAGAGCCAATTTTCAGACATCTAAGAAAGCTGCAGTATCAAAGCATCATAACACAAAAATAATAAGGATAAAGATGGGTTCAAAATTAGACCTCCACCTATGCAGTAAATTAAATGTTTATAAGGGCATGTAGATAATTCAGTGGGGAAAGTAAGTCTTTAACAAAGGCTTTTGAAATAAATGCATTCTCATATTAAAAAAATACATGCATCAGTCCTTTGTATACACAAAACTAATCCGATATTTTTAATGTAGGCATAAAAATGAAAAAGCAAAATTCAGAAAGCTTTTAAAAGAAAAAAATTAAACAATATCTGTGAGCTATTATAATAGGAAAAATATTTCTGAACAGAGAAAGCACTATCATAAGAGTAAAAATTGATAAATTGTAGATATTAATTAAAAATGTATCCTAATAAAACTGCAAAATGTAAGAAAATATAATTTTAAGCCATAGACTGTGATAAATTATTCCATATATGTATGAGAAAAAAATTGCGTGTTCAAAACGCACAGAGTACTCCTGAGATCCACTAAATAGTTATAAGAATCTTGAACAGGTATTTCACAAAACAAGAGATACAAGTGGCTTATAGGAATGTGAAAAGATGCTCAATATTATTAGATAAGGGGAAATGCAACCAAAATGCATTGAAACTGGAAAGACTACCATTTAAAATGATAATACTAATATTGGCAAATATGTGGGGAAACTAGAAGTCATGTCTATTTCTTGTGAGAGTGTAAAATAGAACAACCGGCTGGGCGCGGTGGCTCATGCCTGTAATCACAGCACTTTGGGGGGCCGAGGCGGGTGGATCACGGGGTCATGAGATCGAGACTATCCTGGCTAACATGGTGAAACCCCGTCTCTACTAAAAATACAAAAAAAAAAAAAAAATTAGACGGGTGTGGTGGCGGGCGCCTGTAGTCCCAACTAATCAGGAAGCTGAGGCAGGAGAATGGCGTGAACCTGAGAAGTGGAGCTTGCGGTGAGCCCAGATCACGCCAGTGCACTCCAGCCCGGGCGACAGCGCGAGACTGTGTCTCAAAAAAAAAAAAAAAAAAAAAAAAAAAAAAAAAAAAAGCGGAACAACCGCTTTGAAAAATAATTCGCTTCTAAATAAGGCCAACATATATCTACCCTATAGCACAGCAATTTCAATTCTAGAAATTTATCCAACAAAAATAAAAGCATATATTTACACAAAAACCTGTTTGAGAATGTACCTAAGTCCTTTATTTGTAAAAGCTAATTCTGAAAGCAATCTGAATATTCACTAACAGACTAATGAATAAGCAAACTCTGACAAATACATAGGCAACTCAGAAATATGAGGAAAAATAAACAAATGATACGCACAAATATTTGGCTAAATCTCAAATATTTATTTATGCTAAAGAAAATAAACCAGATACACACTCACACACACATCCTGTAGGAATTCTAATTATTGGAATTTGAAGATGAACAAAATTAATCAATCATGATAGAAATTATAAGGGTTTAATCCGAGTTAATTGGGATGCTGAAGCCGGAGAATCGCTTGAACCCGGGAGGCGGAGGTTGCAGTGACCTCACATTGTACCACTGCACTCTAGCCTGGGTAACAGAGTAAGACTACGTCTTAAAACAAACAAACCAAAGAAATTATACAGGTTTGCCTCTGAAGAAGAGAAGAGAAGTTTGAATAAGCACAATAGTATTTTCTAGATTTAGTGTAATTAGGTAAATATATCAATTTATAAAAAGTACGAAACCACATTTTTGACACGTTTATTATATTTAAAATATAGCGCAATAAAATAAGGTTAGGAAATGATTGCATATTACTCTCTGAGAGGAAGAATGTTATCTGTTGGTAGAATTAATAAAGTTACTCATTTCTTATAAGAAGTAAAGATATATTGGCCGGGTGCGGTGGCTCGCGCCTATAATCCCAGCACTTTGGGAGGCTGAGGCAGGCGGATCACAATGTCAGGAGATTGAGACCATCCTGGCTAACACGGTGAAACCCCATCGCTACTAAAAATACAAAAAATAAGACGGGCGTGGTGGCGGGCACCTGTAGTCCCAGCTATTCAGGAGGCTGAGGTAGGAGGATAGCGTGAACTTGGGAGGCGGAGTTGCAGTGAGCCGAGATCATGTCACTGCACTCCAACCTGGGCTGCAGAGTGAGACTCTGTCTCAAAAAAAAAGAAAAAAGAAGTAAAGATATATCTATTAACCTGTATAGGTATATATAAGCTAAAAACAACCATTCAACTTTTGTGGGCATAGTAGTCTGTGTCAGGCATTTTTGTATAAATCATAAACATTTATTCTCATTCAAATAATAAATATATTATCTCACGGTTATAAAGGTATAATAAGTACAATTTTAAAAAATAGACAAACTTTTCTGAATATTTCCAGTACAGTGGTATATCATTTTTTTCCAATAGAATAAATAGAAAAATACTCAATCTCTGGGTAATATTTTGCAGAAAATGAATTAGTTACACTTATTCAAGTTGAATTATTCTAGTTCCTCAATTTTATATTCCAAAAAATATATGCTGACTATATTTTTAATGCTTTTTTATTAGAGAAGTTTGTTTATTGATATGTACATCACTTTTACTGATTCAGTTTTGAGCAAGGTGTGACTCTTTATTCAATTTTCCAAAGAGTTCCAAACCAAAACTTGTGGATTTCCAGTTGATCTGTATATCACCTTGCCACCTCTGGCTTTTTTCTCTCTAATACAGGTATAAGAATGACATTTAAAAATAAATGATTTGTGAAGCCAGTTGAAAAATGTTCATGCTATATTAATCAACTTGATAAAATGCATTAAATTTATGAGTTTCTACATGTTTGTTAGTGCCTGGAATCTATAGGTAGAGACACCCATAAAAAAGTCTTATAATATAAGCTATATAACTTAGTGAAAAATCAATAAGGCATACTAATGTTTGCATAGGATGACAACCTGGTCATGTTAATTTTTCTGAGAAAATAATCTCAAATGAAAAATCACTTCCCTAAAGCATTATTTGTTTTTATATCAGATTTATTTTAGTTCAACCAACATTTATTGCATGCTCTAAGTATTAGATATTGTGATTGGTCCTGGGAATGCTAAGATAAAAATTTCTCCTTTTCTAACCTTGAATTCACAGAGAGGTAGAAGCAAGAGAAGCATAAACATATAATTTCAATGCAATATGGTAAGTAAAATGATAGTGGTATTTTTTTCTGAATTTTCAGATATCAATTATTTATTTATAAACCGTTCTTTAGAGGGTGATTTATTTTCTCTATAGACATCAACAAGATACACTTGCCTTGTATGGCAAAAATAAATTAATTTTAGCTTTGTGCAGATACATCCTATTGAGTTACAAAGTGATGCTATCAAACACCACTGACAACAACAAATTCAGGATTTATGGCTCTCTTTGTCTCTGTTTCTCTCTCCTTCTCTCTCTCTCTCTCTGTGTGTATATATATACATATATGTATATTATACATATATAGTTTAGGATGCATGTGTATTTATATATAATTTTATTTTTTAGAACAAAATTAAAAATAAAGTGTCTTTAAATGAAAGTGTGTTTGTAACACAATCTTATGACATCAGCATTAAAAAGGCTATTCAGAACACTTCCTCAAATTGAAACTATTACCAATACTGAGTTAAATATTTTAGGACTACTTCATTATCTAGGAAATTTGAGAAGCAAATTAACTCTTTGCTCAGAGTATTGTGATACCATATCTTTTCTTGTAAAATAAGATATTGTTTAATTATAAAATATTGTCAAATTTCTGAAAAAGTGTTTATATAAGTGTTAGGAATATGTTTAGCCCTGGGAGCCATGTGTTACTTATCATTGTACAGATCTTGCTGACACAACTGGGTATGGTAGAAGGCCTGATAGGATTAACTGCAAGTAAAGCAGAAATTATTAAAAACAATATTGAGGCCAGGCAAGGTGGCTCATGCCTGTAATTCCAGCACTTTGGGAGGTCGAGGCAGGTGGATCACGAGGTCAGGCCTTCAAGACTAGCCTGACCAAGATAGTGAAACCCCGTCTTTACTAAAAATACAAAATTAGGTGGGCATGGTGGTGGGTTCCTGTAATCCCAGGCTGAGGAAGATAATTGCTTGAACCCAGAAGGTGGAGGTGGAGGTTGCAGTGAGTCGAGATCACACCACTGCACTCTAGCCTGGGTGACATAGTAAGACAACGTCTCAAAAACAAAAACAAAAACAAAACAAACAAACAAACAAAAATTAAATTAACTGGATGTTAAATGTGGTTTCTTTACATTTACCAGAATTTCAGCCAAGGTCCTAATGGCCCCAAATAATAGGTGCTACATTATCAAGCAGATATATCAAGAGATTGTGATAATGTTAATGAAACCCCTTTGCTCATCACTCATTTCCAAAATTTATATTTTCAAAGGGAATTTTGTACAGAGTTCCTAAAAAAAGGGATCATGATGCCAGTGTATTGCCTCACTGATTGCTAAATGAAGAGGACTATAATGAAGCATTCAAAGAACGTGATGTGCCTCTGGGGCAACTGAAGGATTGCTATCTGACTTATGCATTTAAAACCTTCGAAGTGGAAGTTTGTCTGGAATGGTTTAGGCAAACAGACTAGGTTGGATTGAGAATTGAATGTATACATAAAATTTGGTTTGGTCAGATGAGAACATCAAATGTGGTAGCTAGATCACTGTTATTTATGAGCTTTTTATTGGGTTGATTTGTCTTGAAAGAATCAAATCTAAGAGAAATGCTTGGAATGGCTAGATGATCCTAACAGAAGAAATCTTACTGGTCTTTACTGCTAAACCTAAGGAGATGAGAGTAAACATTAAGTGGCCAACTCAAAGAAGCATGGACTATGTTGAAACATGGACTATAGCTGCAATTTCCCAGTGGTGCAGTTTTCAAGCATTTTACCCCAGGAAAGAAAAAAATAAATAAATGAAAAGTAGCCATTTCACCATTCAGAGGATAGATACTGTTGCCCAGTGAAAACTACATGAATTATGTAATAGTTTTATGCTTGTTTCCCCCACTCACCATTCCAAAACTGTAAGACTTCAAGATAGAACAGGAGGTATGAAATTTTAACAGCACATAAAAAAATAGTGAACATTCTATCCCCGCACTTCATTGCCATTACTAAGGCTAAGGCAGGACTGAGTTTAGAATGCAGCAAAGCTTTGAAATGTATGAGATAATATCTCTAATATTCAAATGCACCATAAACTCAAAACTTAGAATCAATCCTATTTTTAAAATACTGAATGTGACAAGAAACGTTATAAAATTTTCAAGATATCAGTATATGATAGAAAGAGATGTATTGCTTTAGCACAAATCATTCTACAAAAAAAAATTCTTCTAAAATGAATTACTTATCCATATCCTACAAATTTTCTTTTTTCTTTTTCTTTTTCTTTCTTTTTTTTTTTTTTTGAGACAGAGTTTCACTCTTGTTGCCCAGGCTGTAGTGCAGTGGCTTGATCTCAGCTTACTGCAAACTCTGCCTCCCGGGTTCAAGCAATTCTCTTGCTTCGGCCTCCCAAGTAGCTGGGATTACAGGTGCCAGCCACCACGCCCAGCTATTTTTTTGTATTTTTAGTAGAGATGGGGTTTCACCGTGTTGGCCAGGCTGGTCTTGGATGCCTGACTTCAGCTGATCCACCGGCCTTGGCCTCCTGAAATGCTGGGATTGCAGGCATGAGTTGCCGTGCCCAGCCACAAATTTTCTTTTACCTTGGAAAACATATATGCAAATATACTTGTCAACTATCCGACAAAGGTCTTCGGTATGTATGTATGGATTCATTGAACATTCTTTTTTTTTACATAATGCATATTTTATGATTTTTAGCTTTGGTTTTTTTAAATGAACCAATAAATTGAAGAGACACAAGAAGTAATATGTGTGTAAATACCAGCACGCTTAGCCCCTCAAATAAACCTCTTACAGGTGTCTGACTCCTAAATCCAATTTGACATTTTTTCAGAACTTGTCTTTATCAATTATTTACATTCTGCTTCATTTTCTGATTTGTTTTTTTACTTTCACACTCACTTATCATTGTTTTACACAATAGTTGTTTACTACAGTAACAATTATATCTGACATAAATATACTGAGGAACAAAACAACCATCTTATGGCATACAAATTAGCAGTGGGAGAAGGCTAACCCCAAACATATGCCAAGCCAGGGGCCAGGAAATCCAGGGATGTGGTTAGGCAGAAACTGGGAAGACACTTTATAGCGATTCCTATCTTTGTTACAGACATGAAGGAGATAAATTATAATATGTAAAAACGGCCCTCCCAGTCCTAAAGAGATTAACTAAAAGTCTAGTACCTTTTAAAGATCTGAATAGGAAACAGTTGTCATTTATTGTCTCTAACGGCAGCCACTGTTATGACTTCAAAAGAACCTTGGTCTCCACAATCTTTTATCTTAACCTGAACATTCCCTTTCTATCAATCCCAGGTCTTGAAACAAACTCAACCAATTATCAACCAGAAAATGTTTAAATTCACCTATAGCCTGGAACCAACCCCCAAACCCCAATACCCTCCCATCCCCCAACCCCCCTGCCACCCCCAACCCCTCCCACCCCCACTCCCTCTGCTTTGAGTTGTCCCACCTTTCTGGATCAAACTGATGTATTTCTCAAGTGTAGTTACTTGATGTCTCATGCCTCTCTAAAATGTATAAAAGCAAGCTGCCTCCCAACCACCTTGGGCACATGTTCTCAGGACCTCCTGAATGCTGTGTCACTGGCCATGGTGACTCATATTTGGCTTAGAGTAAATCTCTTCAAATATATTTTTTTAAAGAAGAAAGAAAAAGGAAAAACAAATGCTTTTGCAGAAGCCAAGAAGAAAGTGAAGGGAAATAAATGAGAGTGGAAAAATGAGAGATCAATTGTGGTGAGACATGCTTTTTTTGGCAATTAATTGCAGCAAGTGCCCAAAATGCCAATTATAACATAGTTTGCTATCTACCATTGCTTTATTTAACTGAAGTATTCAACCATAGATATAGAAAAAAGACTGACCTAGTTTAGAAAAGTTCTATCCTGATACATTTAAGCACTAGAGAGTATACACAAATAAAAACACAAACTTAACTTTTCTTAAAAAATTTTACTGAGTCAAATATTAAAAGAGATCACTTGTTTGTAAAGCATCTCATGAAGTTGATTTTTGATTTTTCAGTCCTTCAGTAATTAATAATCTTTATTTTGACATTGATGGTTATCTGATGGAAGAATAACTGCAAGATATTAATAATAGAAATCATTTGCATCAGCCGGGTACAGTGGCTCACTCCTGTAATCCCAGAACACTGGGAGGCCAAGGTGGGCAGATCACTTCAGCCCACGAGTTGGAGACCAGCCTGGGCAATGTGGCAAAATCTTGTTTCTACTAAAGATACAAAAATTAGCTGGGCATGGCGGCATGTGCCTGTAGTCCCAGCTACTCAGGAGGCTGAGATGGGAGGATTGCATGAGCACACTGCACTTCAGCCTGGGCAACATAGTAAGATCCTGTCACACACAAAAAAATCATTTGTGTCAAATGATTTTTGTATCAAAGCTTTCAGAAAAAGGAGTGGAAAGAAAAAAAGCTTTTGTCCATCATTCTTAGATGTCATATTCAATTAAATATTTCTTCAGACTTAATAAAAAAAATTGAACAATAATAACAAGTGTGATTTTATTTCCATTAACCTGAAATTTACTGCTATTTCAAATTCTACTCAATTTAGAGTTTTTAAGATTAAAAACAAGAAATATTAAATAGAAGTTACAATATTTTTGAAGTAATTGGTGAGAATTTGTTTAATAATGCCTATGTATTTGGTAATTTGATCTTAGTTCTACATATTTCACTATCACAAACTCTTCCCTGTCCGTTACCTCAGCTACAAGATTTATCAGACTGTCAATGATAACTATGTCACATATGGTAGTGCCCTTTGCTTTAATGAGGGTGATTAGCTAAAATTGATGTTCATTGCCTTAATACAGACATACTATATTTAGATATATTTAACTCTATTACACATACTGCAAACACATACTCTTTTGTCTTCTACACTATTATATATTTTACTTGTTATAGTAGATATTTATTTTCAATGGATAACTAAGTATAATAAAATAGATAGCAGAGGAATTAATTATCTCATATGGATATCATTTCACCTGATCTTGATGAACAAGGAAATGGGTGATTTACCCAGGAATAAATATAAAGTTCTGTATGGTTTGGAAAGCACAAATGGTCACCTAATTTTGAAACACTTTAGGTAAATTCCCATTCAGAAAAACATTTATCACTTATATAACTAATGAAATGCTTAGGGGAAAGTGTTTTGGCTGAAAAAGAACCATACTTTGCTTTTACAGACTATTTTTATATTTGAATATTTCATAAAAACTATTTCTAAGCCAAGGAAAAAAAAAACTAAATAAAAAGGCAAAGATCTATTTTTGAAAGTGAAATATTTACGTATAACCGTAGTTAGAAAAGAAGTGGAAATCAATATGAAATCAATATGTGATTTCAGATGATTGCGTATTTTATAACTATTAGGGATAAAGTGCATTAGAGCTTCCTGTTGCCAGTTGCTGAAAGGCTTTGATTCAGAGGTGGCATCTGTACAAAAAGATACTGCCATTTTTATGGTAAATGCTTTTTAAATTGAACTAGAAAGTAAATAGTCACACATTTTAAAAAAATATGAATTTTTAAAAGTCTGTGTTTGAACATCAATAAAGAAACCAACGTAACTATGAATTAAGAGAAATCTAGAAATACTTTATTTAAACAAAAACATTGCAAACATTTATGTCATAATATTTACTTTCTTAAAATAGAAACAAAAACAGTTGGAGATTTAATTCACTATAAGAAAGAAAAGTTTTTGTACATAATGTTTTCTAAGGTAGTAAATGTAAACCTAAGTAACATGGCATGGAATGAAAATAAATTACTGAGAATGGCTTTGTATTGATTATGTATGTTCTGAAATGTTTCCTTATTGAAACAAATCTACACAGTGGAGGAAAATATGTACTTAAAACTGGCATCTGATGTGATTAGTGTATTACATACATACAAATTTGCAATAGTCTCTGAAGAGAAAATGAGATTTCTACCTTTTCCATTTCCAATTCAGTCCAGTCATTTTGGTGTATTTCTCTGATAGTGTCTCTATTAAAATGTAATTTATTTTATTTTATTTCTATAAATTTATGGAGTGCAACTGTAATTTTGTTACATCCATAGGTTGCATAGTGAAGTCAGGATGTTCAGCATATTCATCACCTGAAAAGCATACCTTGTACTCATTAAATAATTTCTTATCATTTACTCCCCTCTCACTCTCCCCCAACTCTTCCAAGTCTTCATGTCCAAGTCTCTATCATTGCACACTCTATGTCCATGTGAACATATTAATTACCTCCCATTTATAAATGAGAACACGCAGTATCTGTCTTTCTGTGTCTGACTTTCATCTAAGATAATGTCCTCCAGTTCCATCCAAACTGCTCCAAAATACATGTTTCATAAGTATATTATTTTTAAAGGCTGAATTGTATTCCATTGTGTATATCATCATATTTTCTTATCTTTAGGTGGAAATCTTTTTTATTATACTTTAAGTTCTGGGGTACATGTGCAGAACTTGCAGGTTTGTTATGTAGGTATACACGTGCCATAGTGGTTTGCTGCACTCATCAACCTGTCATCTACATTAAGTCTTTCTCTAAATGCTATCCCTCCCCTAGCCCCTCACCCTCTGACAGGCTGTGGAGTGTGATGTTCCCCTCCTTGTGTCCATGTATTCTCATTGTTCAACTCCCACTTATGAGTGAGAGCATGCAGTGTTTGGTTTTCTGTTCTTGTGTTAGCTTGCTGAGAATGATGTTTGCCAATTTCATTCATGTCCCTGCAAAGGACATGAACTCATCATTTTTTATGGCTGCATAGTATTCCATGATGTATATGTGCCACATTTTCTTTATCCAGTCTATCATTGGTGGGCATTTGGGTTGGTTCCAAGTCTTTGCTATTGTGAACAGTGCTGCAATAAACATATGTGTGCATGTGTCTTCAGAGTAGGATGATTTATAATCCTTTGGGTATATACCCAGTAATGGGATTGCTGGGTCAAAATGTATTTCTAGTTCTAGATCCCTGAAGAATCGCCACACTGTCTTCCACAATGGTTAAACTAATTTACACTCCCACCAACAGTGTAAAAGCATGCCTATTGCTCCACATTCTCTCCAGTATCTGTTGTTTTCTGACTTTTTAGTGATCTCCATTCTAACTGGAGTGAGATGGTACCATCTCACATTTTCTTTATCAAATCATCTATTGGTGGACACTTAGGTTGATTCAGTATCTTTGCTACTGTGAATAGTGCTGTGATAAGTGCTGGTATGTTTATGATATAAGGATTTCAAATAGACTGTAAGAGTGTAAAAAGTTTCCACTGAACTTTGGACTGGAAATATGATAAGAGAAGATCCTTTCACTAATAGAGGCGGAGCGTTAAGAGATAAAATCAATAACTAATTTTATGCTGCACTAAACAGGGAAGAAAGAGAAAGTCAGTAAAAAGTTTTGTGGTTGGCCAGGTTTTGGATTACATAACGAAAATAGACAAACATACTTTATTAAGCATATTGCATAACCTATGCTACTTTCAGCTGATTTATATTCATTTAATCCCTCATTCAACTTAATATAATAGCCTCCTTTCCTTCCTGGCTTTCTACCTGCCTGTTCTCATTCATTAACTTGTTTTAGCCAATGAGTCATGAGTAGCTACTCTGTTCAGGCATTGTTCTCAGTTCTAGTGATACAGTAGCATACAATTTTAACAAAATATCTGCCCTCATGAAGCTACATTTTAGAGGAAGGAACTCAGTGAACAAGTCAACGGAAAAATATAAAATATTTTAGAATACAAATAATTGGTATGAAGGAAAACCAGTCAAATGAGGGGTAAGACATATTCAAGGTAGAGAACAATCTACAATTACACTGAGCCCTGAACAAAGAGAGAATAAGCTATACATAAATTTGGGGAAGAACATTTCAGGAAGAGGGAAGTGTACAGGCTCTAATGAAATCAAAAAGCTAGTGTATTCCAAAAAGAGCAAAAAATCATTATGCTTGAAATTGAATTGAATGAGCAATGAGAAGAATAGTAAAAATGAGATCAAACAATAATCTAGAGCTAGATCAGAAAAAAGTCTAAAAGCTAAAATGAAGGTATGCATATTATTCTAGAGTGTGAAGAGATCTGATCAGGAGAACTACATGATCTGATTACTATTTCAAAATAAGGATTCTTGATGCTATTTGGAAAATGATGGCCTACTATAATGATAAGAGATTATTTTAAATATGTAGTAATGAGATAAAATGACATGAATGAATGTTTTTATTTATAATGAGCATACCAGTGTATAGCCTGTTTAGTACTTGTATACTTGGAAGCAGTTTATTCTCCGAAGTTTTTTTTCTTTATTTCTTCTCTAACTTGTTCTTTTTAAATTTAATATCAACATAATATGCTTTAACTTTAAACATTTAGGTGCTTTATGAGTGGAATCTCAGTTAAAAAATGTTATTATTCAGTAGGTACTAAATTGAGTTCCTGTTTTACTTTACAAACCAAGCACCATAGGTTGTTACAGAAAACCATTATAAGTCAAATTTTTTAAAAGTTTCTTCAGTGAAGTAGACATTACAAAAGTTATATTTAAACACAACACTATGAACTCAAGTCACAGAGGCAAAGAGAAACTATTGTATTTGCTTTGAGCATCTACACATTGTAAAAAAGGTTATTGAATGCAATTCAAATCTAACTTCATTTGAGGATAACCCCAGGCACTTTGTGTCTGTATTTCTTGTAGTTTTGGACTATTGGAAACTCATTCAGTTTTGCCTTAAAGCACCCAGTAACCTATGAACAAAATGCATAAAAACTATTACATGATGTTTAGCCTCTGTAGACCAAACACGACAGGTATATGCAATTGCATAGTGCTGATGACTCACAAAAACAAAACAAAACAAAACAAAACAAAACAAAAAACTCTGTCCTCAGACTGATTTGTGAAAATAACTATTTAATCTAAAAATAAACTGAAGAGTGAAAATTAGAATTAGCAAATAGAGTTGAAGGTGTGTGTCAAAATGGATTGTATTTTATATAGTCTTTTACTATAATTATTCTTATAACAGGGCTTGTTTTCCTCTATTAGACTGCAAATGTGTTGGTTACTGAGGCGGTTGCACTTGTTTTTGTATCACTTATGAAACCTAGTATAGTGCTTTGTATTATAATAATCATTCATTAGATATTATATGAATGATTTGAATTATATTTCATAGTAGCTCAAAGTTAGTCTTGATGGATAAATGAATGTAATACAACCATATACATTATTACTAAGGAACTTAATAATATCATGAAGTATCTTTAACCAAAGTAATAATTAAAAAGTAGGAGTAAACCATAATAAGTTCAAATTTAGAATTTGATAGATAATGGAGATTACTTTTTAGGCCTAAATATTGAAGGATAGATGCTTATGAAACTTTGAGGTTCAAATTATTTGTAGAAATGTTTATTTAATATTATATTCAAGATATTAAAATAACAATAGGAAAATGTATAAGAGATTTGTTAAACACATCCTGAAAGCATGGAAATAACCATATATCTTAGCCTAACGCATGAAATAGTATAGCAAATATAAGCAGGATGTTTTTATTTTTATTTTAAAATTGTGTTTATCACTGGATAGGGATAATAAATTTATTCTATTTATTTTTTGCTGTTAAACATATACTTTAATAAACTAAACACATTTGTTACTGCAGTGGATGGAAATATGTTTGTCACAGGTAAAATTGTCACTTGGGTAAACTTTATCTCAAGCAACTCCTTTTTAGTTTTAATACTTTCTATGTTGCCCAAATCAAGTCTTATTTCCATGAATCACTGTTTTATGTAATAATTTTCTTGGTGAAGTGAATTTACATAGTTTTGGTACTTTCATGTCAGATTTCTAAGGTAGTATAATTTAGTTTAGAGGAAGAATTTCTACACAGATCATGTAATTGTCTCTTCATTATATATCAGGGTAAAATCTATAAAAAACAAAATTGGTTTGAGAACAAAGCTGTCATTACTTGCAAGATGAAAACAGAAAAATTACATGTGTTTATTAAAACACAGAAGTATATTCCTGTGCAAATTAGCCCAGATTCTGAAGTGAAAGACAGGACTTTTGAGAGATTTTGAGTCCAAGGGTTCACCTCTTCAAACACAACAGAAAAAACTCTAATTTTTTTATTTTTAAATCTAATCAGTTTATATATGCCCAGGTCCAGCAAAAAAAAGCTGGGTTGATGATGTGTTTTGCAGTTATTCAAGCTAGTTTGAAAGAGTACCTGGCAGTGATTGTGAAGACCAATGATTATGCTACTAAGGTCTCTCAATTGCCAGACCCCCACCAAGTATTTTTTAAATATGCTATTGTGTTTTGAAACTCAAAACCTCGTATTTTTGTTAATCTAGTTACCTGCCAAACCAAACAGGAATCCAAAGTTTCATAACCCTGCTGTGTTCTCTGGTTACTAGAAATAAGCATATTTTTGATGTTTTAACAACCTTTTAAAATAATAATTTCTAATAATGAAATAGAATATTTCTATTTTAAGTAGCTATTGGGTATATCTTTACATAACTAGATGATTATAGTAAATGGGTTTTTTAGATGAATGATGTGCATGGGTAGATATTTTTAAAATGAAATATGTTTTTTCCTTTTTTACTTAAATTTCTTTTTAGAACATACTGTTATGAACATTAACATTTATTCAAGTCCTTGGGACAATTCTTCTTCAGTTACCCAGTTAAAATTTTCATGATCTCTGCAAAACACAGATTAGAAATATAAAATAACATAAATTTTAGAATACAGTGAGATGACTTACACAACAATTTGATAATATTTTATATAATATTTTATGATTAACCAGTTAACTGAAACCTCAAAACCTGTATTAACTGATTAATATTGTAGCAAAATGTCAGTTCATGTTATTGTATCAATCACTTCTGGATACATGATTATGCTGTCGTGATATGATTTCTAACAATTGTCTTGTCATTTTTAGCTTTTACTATTATAATTTTAATTAGAATATATTAAAGTCACTATGTCATAACAGACTTTATATTGTGCCGTGCAGTCCTATTGCTCTTTTGTTTCAAATATCATATAGTCTAAAGCAATGATTCTCATTAAATACATGCATCAAAATCAACTGCAGTTATTACATGCTAACTCAAACTTACAAAATCAAGCTCTCTGTGATCCTGGTTAATACATCTAAGTACTTGAGCCAATAATCCAAGTGCTTTGGGGGGTCGAGGTGAGAGGATAGCATGTGGCCAGAAGTTCAAGACCAGCCTGGGCAACATAGCGAGACTCCATCTCCACAAAAAAAATGTTAAAAATTAGCCAGACATGGTGGTGCATGTCTTAGTTCTAACTACTCAAGAGGCTGAGAAAGGAAGATTACTTTAGCCCAGGAGCTCAAAGGTGCAGTGAGCTGTGACTGCACTCCAGCCCGTCTAAAAAAAAAAAAAAAAAAAAAAAAACGGAAAGAAAAGAAAAAAAGAAATAAAAAGGTATACACATTTTTTTTCTGAAGTGGATGGAAATATGTCATGTCAGAGGTAAATTGTGACTTGAGTAAGTTTTATGTTGAGCAACTCTTTTTGTTTACATTTTCTATGTTGCCCAAATAAAGTCTTATTTTCATAAATCACTGCTTTACGTAACAACTTTTCCTGCAGCCCTGGGTATGGTGGCACACAGTTGTAGTCCCAGGTACACTGGATGCTGAGGCAAAAGGATCATTTGAACCCAGAACTTCAAGGTCAACCTGGGCAACATAGCAAGATCCTATCTGTAACAAAAAATTTTTTAATGATAATTCTCATGCAAAATTCAGTTTGCACTGTTTTAAAAAATGAAACACTTATAAGAGCATGGTGATAAGGCAATTCTGACATGGTGTCAAGCCATTTAAACTTAGATGTAACCTAGGATTTAGGATCCTTGCTATTGTTTACATAGTAAGTCCACATTTAATATCAGTAGATTATTGGAAACTGCAACTATCAGCAAAATGGTGAACAATGAAACAAATTTTACCATAGGCCAATTGATAAAACAATATATAAGTTCCTACTGCATATTTCTGGTCACAATATTATCACTGTACTTCTAAATGAAGACTAAAACACTTAAAACATTCAACACTGAAATAAGTGTGAGGTATACATACATTTTTAAAAAGATTAATAAAAACAAGTAAGATGATTATTTACCCAATTATTCCAGTTCAGAGTCTCGGGTAGCAAGAGCCTATTCTTACTCAACATGCAATGCAGGAATAAACCCTGCACAGGATGCTATTCCATGGCAGGGCACAACCACATTCACTCACATGGGGACACACAGTGGGGAAATGCCAATTAACCAGACATGCACATCTTGGGGATGTGAGAGGAAGCAGGAGTTCCTGGAGAAAACCCATGCAGGCATGGGGAGAACATGCAGACCCTACACAGATGGTAGCCCTGTCCAGGAATCAATATTTATTCTCATCTACATTATAGCGAAACATCATTGAACAAAACAACTTTATTTGAGGACCTGTTTTACTTGTACGTCTTTGGGAAAATCTTTTAACTTTTATTACTCATAATCTCAATAAAAGTGTGTTAAGAATACATATTTCAGGAGGTTTTTTGAGATAATCAAATGTGGCAATGCATGCAGAATTAATAGCCCATAAGGCATTTTATACAGTATGTTCTTAGTAATCTATATTTAATTGATAATTGCTTTATAAAATAATCTGATTACTTTTGGTATAAAGGATAACATATTCCACTAATACTGTGAAGTTTCAGTGATATAAACACTTAGAAATCATCTGCTCTGTTATGGAAAAAAACATCTAGAAGTATCTTTCAGATTGAAAAATGTTTTTAAGGTGCTGGAATAACAGTACCTCTTGCAGATTTGTCTAGCATTACCCAATGTTTGTGATTGCTGAGTAATATTAGTGAAATAAGTATGCAAATCTTTTAATAACTGAATAGAATCCTTCCCTGAACAATTTCCCAGGTGTTATTGCTGTTGCTATCTTATTAAATATTCAATGCCATCTATTATATCCTATACAGAGTCAAATAATAAGCTTACATAAACTAATATTTAATATAATACTAATAAATTTAAGATGATATAAAGCAGAATAAAATAACATTTCAGAATAAAAAGACTTTGAAGCTTCCTTGTATTACTTGATAAGATTTAGGTACAGTCTCAAGAAAACATTTTTTTTTCCTTCTTCTGCATCAGCTCATCTACAAACCAATTTATTTCTGAAATAGGCCCCAGGGGCAGGCTGGTTGGTGACTGTAGTGGGGGATATCTGACTGGCCACTCAAGGAAATTGCTATGGACTTTTAATCTTATTTTGATTAAGTTCTGTGCAGATTGTGTCTGCCAGGCTAGCACTAAGATTACTGTTTCTGAGATCTTTTGGCTGCTATCAGACTGGACTCAATTTTTTTTCTACATTCTCAAGGTTAAGTTGAAACAGTATTACCCATTATTTATAAATGGTAAGTGTTTAGGTTTTGCCTTGTGTTACAAACTAGAATGTTAATAAAAATACTATATTTAACAAGTTGCAAGTTTATGAAAGTCATTGTTTTTGAAAGAAAGTTTTAGATAAAAAAAAAAACAAAAGAAAGCAAAAGAAAAATCCTTTAAGGGGAAACAATGTCTTTATGTGTTTAAAGTTTCAAAAGGTAATTTATAAAGAAATCAAATATAGTTAAAAATAACTAATCAAAGATGAATATTTAGTGTAGAGGAACATGGATATGGATAAACTGTAGGATATTTTATTTATCTTTTTCTTTCAGCAAAGATCTAACCAAAATTAGAGAAATGATGTGTTTTATTCTAGAACCATCACAATACAAACAATAATATGTTGTTTTTCATCTTGTATTGGATAAACACTATTAATCCCAATAATCCATTCCTCTTTGCTTCTTCAATTAAAATCCCGTGTATTATATAAATACCTCCCTCTACCCTCTGCAGTGTAGGAGAATCAGGGAAATCTCATCCCATCTCCCGAAACAGAGATGTATCCTGTATGTACCTTGCCAATGATGGCAACTTCTTTTCCTTTGTCGAGATATAATAGAAACCCCAGGTTGACACCATTTAGTTCATGATATCACTTCCAGATTGATATTGGTGGAAAGGTGACTTAATCTGGCTAAATCAGATGCAAGAGATGGACTTGTGTTCTATTATTAGAATATAAATTTCTTGTCTTTCTGTATATGAATAGCAAAGCATGCTGCAACAATTGTTCTTATCAGCAAAGAAAAATTCTGATAAGCACCTGGAAATATGGCACCTGGAAGCCCTCATTCCTCAGGACTTGATAAAAGAATTCATTATTATTAAAGCAAGTTAAGAGCCAGGATTACTGTTACTTGTCTTGAAAGCATGTTGACATCTCTATTGTTCCATATGCCTTGTCAGAATGATCTCTGGCTTAGGGAAAACTTTTCAGCTATCTGCTCTAGCACACTGGTGTGAAAGATGTGTTAAGGGAGAGGTGATAGCTTGATCCTTAGTGCTGTTAGACATCAGGTGAGTCTTAGATAGCTCTAATCATCAGGTCACTTTTTTCAGCCATGAGTAGTATGCTCTACAGCAGTTATTAATTTACATAAATGCTGTAGATTTAAAAATGGTAGTGAAGTGCTAATTCAGAGTATCTGATTTATAATTCAGAGCAATTCAATGGGCCATAGTTAAGTTGGCAGGAGTATTCTAGTTATCTCTCCAAATATAATAATTTTAAATATTGTCCACACAAGGAAAAATCCTAACATCTTTCTCCATATCCTTAAAACTCCAGATATGAATTTGATCATGCAGTGCTTGTCTTTCTGTGCCTGGCTTATTTCACTTAACAAAATGTCCTCCAACTTCATCCACATTGCTAAAAATAACAGCATTTTATGGCTGAATATTGTTCTGGAGGGGTGGATAGATAGATGATAAATAGACAGATGATAGATAGATAGATAGATAGATAGATAGATAGATAGATAGATATACATTTATACACCACATTTTCTTTATCCATTTGTTGTTAGATGAGTATTTAGGCAGATTCCATATCACGGCTATTTTGAATGATGCTTCAATATCCCTGGGTGCAGATGTCTCTTTGTCATACTAATTTCATTTTTTTTTTATTACGTACGCAGTAGTGGGATTGCTGGGTAATATAATAGTTCTCTTTTTTATTTTTTGTGGAAACTCCATGCTGCTTTTCATAACAGCTATACTATTTTATATTCCCACCAACAGTGTATAACTTTCCTCTTTCTCCACATTATCGTTTCCATTTGTTATATTTTGTCTTCTTGATAATATCCATCATTTAAACTGGGGTAAGGTAATAGCTCATTGTGGGTTTGTTTTGCATTTTTCTGAGGCTTAATGATGTTGAGCATTTCTTTATATATTTTTTGGCCATTTGTATGTCTTCTTTTGTCCATTTTTTAATCAACTTTTTCTTTTGCTATTGAGTTTTTTGAGTTCCTTATATATTCTGGATATTAAACCTTGTTGAATACATAGTTTGCAAACACCTTATCCTGTTCTGTAATTGTCTCTTCATTTTATTGATTGATAAGAAGTAGGTTAATTGTGCTATATAAGTGCAAACTTTGTCTAAAGGAGAATATGTGTTCTTTGAAGGCAAATGTCCATTTGTCAAGCCCCCCAGTACTTTCTTTTATGTAGGAATGCCAATATAGGACCTTTCCGTTTTGAAGCTGTTTGTGAGTAGATTTTTCTCTTCCCACCACCTGGAGGCTAAAATGTAAACCAGAGACCCAAGAATAGCCACTCATTCCTTGCATTTTTAACCTTGCAAGGTAAGAAGTAGGCAGAGAGTCTGAAATTATTCCTGTCGGATGGATAGATTTTTGGAATCCAATGGTAAAGTGGGAAGTGACAAGCTAAAGCAGAGCCCAGCAGCATTCCAGAAAATGCCTGTGCATGCTTTGCTGGCAGTGGCCAGCGGTCATGACTGACAGGACAATAGCCACATGAAAAGCAGAACTTCCTTTTTCTGATATTGGTTCTGACTTGCTCTCTGATTCCTGCCTGAGCCTGGTTCACCTACTTTTTTTTCAATTCTAAGAGCTGCGTTGTGCTTTTCCAACACATTCATTTTTGCTTGCTTTAAATTCCAAGTAATTTCTATTGTCTTTAAACAACTGCCTACCTAAAATAATTATTAAATATGTAGCTAAAACACTAAATTAAATAAACTTACATTGTTTTCCTTGCTGTAAGAATTCTCTAAGCCTTTCTTATTTTAATATGCATCATGAACCTCCAGTTGAGGCAATGTGCAACACATTTTGAGAGACATGATCTACCTGTTGGAATCTTAACATTTAGAACAGATATATTGATCAGTGTATAATTTTTGGATTATCAAAGATGGGAATAAAATTGAGCTATAATATATAAAATAAGAGGATTTATATATGTTTGTTTTTTTACTCCCCATCTCACCTGCTACTTCTTTATGGATCACAGTTATCCCACTTGATGGAATTTTTCTCCTTTCATCCATTACTTTTTTATTTAAAGTATTCCCTCTCCTAGGATGTAAGTTTCTATAGACTGAAATGTTGTTATTTAATGGTAATAAGCCTTATTTTCAGGTTGCTTTACAGAATTTTGGCTTTGTCTTTTGTTTTCTTCACTGTACTTTTCTTACTCCACTCAGAATTTGTTGACCTGCTTAAATCTGCTTATATCTGTCTTCAATCAGTACTAAAAACATTCTCTATTATTTCCTTAGTTATTGCCTTTGTCTCTCTTTTCCTGGTAAAGTTTAGACATATATTAATGTTTAACTCTATCCTTTGTATCTTGAAACTTTTCTTCAATAATTTATTTTCTTTCTTCCTACTGCACTTCATTAATTTTCCAGTAGTTCTCTGTTACTTCTAGCAGGTATTTCCTTTCTAAATCTACCATGATCATATTTGTATTTCCCTGTGGGCATCTTTAAGCATATGTTTTGTTCTTTAACTTCTGTCTGAAAATTCTATTACTTAAATTGTTTTTCTTGTCTGTCGATTTGTTTCTAGATGTTGTTATCCTTAACAATATACTGATTCTTCTCTGTGTATGTGTGTCTCTCTCTCCATCTCTCTCTAAACACATGCACACAAACTCTCTCTCTCTCTCATGTACGCTATATTGCATACAACTGATTTACCAAAATAATTGACTTAATTTTTAATACAGACCTACAAGTTAGTTACTTTCATATTCATGTTACAGTTGACAAAACTGAGACTCAAAGGGAAAAATGACTTGGCCAAGTTTATACACCCAATTAGTGTCAGGATAGTTTAAGATTACCTTGTTGTCTACTATGGAGATAAGTTCCTCCAGAAGTTTTGATTATGCAAGCATTACCCATATCAGATCATCTTAAATCAGGGTGAAAATATGAGTATCTGAACAACTCAGATTTGGTCCCAGACTTCAAGTATGCTCAAGAGTTGGTTCTTGTTTTCTCCTTCATTGAAGTGTATTAACCTTAAGATTCTAGCTTAGAATAGCAAAAGTCTCTGGGCAGACTCTCTATATTTTGTCAGCCATAGACTATAATTTCTGTCTTTTTTCATCTGAGAATTCTATCTGAACAAAAGTTAACTTGGCTTGCAAGGAGAAGTTCCCCAAATTCAGTGATAGTTTTCCTCTTTGAGCTCCCATCTTCTTTAACTCTTATCATGTTTTTCTGGTAGCTCTATTCTGCTTCTTCATTTGACTTCCATTGAATTGGGTAACTTTTTTTTTTTCCTCTTCCCGATGTACATAAATGACTTAAAGTATATCAATATCACTATATTCTCTATAACACACAAATAACTAGCATAAATAAGTTGCATTTAGACAGTATAGTCTAAATACAAGTTCCCTGTCCTATTTTGTAGGTCTTTGAATGTTGTTTAAAAAAATACAACTAAGACATGTTAAATTTCACTAAGTTTATTTGACCAAGAAAAAGGTTTGAGAACTAGGCACCATCCCAGAACGAAGATTGTTCAGAGTGACTCCACATCCAGAGTGGTGAGATGTATTTATAACCAGAACATAGAAAATTATATTCAGAGTTTCCCTGATTGGTGCAGTTCAATATTTGCCTTATTTGGGCATAATTTGGCAGCATTCAGTTTGGGATTGACTAAGGGTTTGGCTCCTATGATTGGTTGAGTCTCAGTTGCTTGGTTACAAGTCCATACATCTACATTAGCTTACAACTTATTTACACGTTAAGTTAGAGTACAGTCACTATGTATGGATGCCACTTTGGGCCAAACCTAATTAGGCAAGTACAATGGGCACTTTGAGCCAAACTTAACTCAGTTTAACAATGTTCTCTAGTATTTGTTTTACTTTATTGTATTTGTTTGATTCAATATAGCAAATGCTTCTTTAGACTTACCCACATGTTTATATATATATTACTGTTTTGCCTCCATTGAACATGCCTTCTACTTCCTAATTTGTGCCAGAATTGACTAGTAGATGCTATGAATGCATCATGCTCTTTGGCCCATTTCGAACACTCAGGTATGTCTGTACTCTTAGTTCATCTATTCATCATTGCTTCTACAGTTCCCTCATGCTTTAAAAGATATGTGGCTTTTATAATTTATCCAGCTTTTTCTTGTCATTTTAATAAGAGTATGTGTCTTATACAACTACTACATTCATCCCAGAAGTAGAAGCAAACTATTATAATCCCATTATTTTTATTCCTACTATTCTCTTTTCAGAATTTCTTTTAGATATTCCTTGGATAGTTTTATTCAATCCTCCATGTCTTTCAGCTTATCTTATGTTCTATCTTTTGGTTCATATTCTGCAATCTGGATAATTCTTTATCTTCACTTGCTAGTTTGTTGATATTCCTTTTGGTGACTATAAGCTGCTCTTTAAAATGGTCAATAATGTGTAAGATGTTTATTATCTTGCCCTTTGCAGAAAAAAATTTTCAGCTTTTGCTCTGGAATGATTTTGCATCTCTTCCACCAAACTTCCAGTGTATCAATGGCCAGAAAATAATCTATATGTTAATTTGTTAATTTGATGCTTCATGGCTCAAGGCTGTATAATTTATAAGTTTGAAGTCAAACAACACATGATGGATAATCCTGATGTTACAGATTCTCAGGGGAGAATATGTATTTGTTTTTTCTACCAATTGTTCTAGTATTTACAGACAAACTTCTTAATTGTACTGGGTTGGTTAATAAGTATTTTTATTTACTCTTTCAATCTAGGTCCAGCTATGCATCACCCCTTCGCTGATGAGCCTTAAGAAAATCCAAATTTATAAATTGCTGGGTCCATCTCTCTTTCCATCCGGAAAAGTCAGAGCAACTGGTCTTGCTGGTTTTAAGTGTTGCCTGTGTTTCTGGCATTGGTAATTTTCTTTGTTTTCCTGTAGTTTTAGGTATACATATATAATGACATCTCCAAAATTCATCAATATTAGCATTTGTTATGAAGATTTTTCAGGCAGCTGGCTTACCATATGGCCTAAATCTGATTCTAAAGTCCACGTTTCACTTTCTCAAATATAAAAACTGCTTGCTAATAAGCATTAGAAAAATATTTTGAAGAAGAACATTTTGATAAATATGATTGTACAATATTCACTGCAGTAAATAACCATTGCATACTCAAAGGAGTTTCATTTGCATATATAACATGAGATGAAAACCAATAATAAATGGTGACTTTTAATAAAATAGGTCAGAAATAGTATCTTGTGCAAATAATCTGATGCCAGAATAATTACCCCTCTAATTAGTAAAATTCAATAAGAAGGTAGAATTTTCATTTACATGTGATCAAATAACTTTTTTTACAATACCTTTGCCTTTTGAATTCTTTAATAAAATACATCAGAAATAGTATCTTGTGCAAATAATCTGATGTGAGAATAATTACCCCTCTAATTAGTAAAATTCAATAAGAAGGTAGAATTTTCATTTACATGTGATCAAATAACTTTTTTTACAGTACCTTTTGCCTTTTGAATTCTTTATTGTTTTCATTTAAGAAATGTGGAAATCTGAAACAAACTATATTCTCAATCATGTTAGAAAAAGTATATGTAATATGTATTTTTTAAATGTCCAGTGGCTAAGAACTTAGACTGGGTTTTGAAATAATAATTTCCTAACACAGTTTCTCAGTATGTTTCCTCTAGGCAAGAGAAAACTCTGTAATTATAAGATTCTTAATTTACCCTGGTAATTTCAAAAGAAAAATGATTAATTACTTTGAGCAATCAGTTATACAGATAATCATGGTTCTTTATTTAAACCACAAAAAATAGAAAGAAAGCAGAGAAGCTTAAGCATAAAACATAAAGAAAAATTCAGTCATTTAGTAAAAATGAAATCAGTGTTAAAATATTTCTTTTGACACAGTCAGCTAACATCTTTCTATTTTTGCTGAGTAACTATTAATTATATTTTAAGTTCAACTAACTCTTGACACAGCAATGGAATTTGAAGTGAATATACTACTTTAAAAAATAAATGGTGTATTTAGAGTGTTGACATTTAGAAAATGATAGTTTTGTGAAATTTGCAATGTGTTTTAGAATTACAAATGCTAAAGTAAATGAATGCATGATTATATTTAATCGAATAAAAACAGAAGAATTTTTTAAGTCTTGACGACCCAAGGCAGGGTTCTGTTTTAAGTATTCCCCTTTCAATCAACGTTACAGCTATCCTAACTTAAAACTGCTTCAACTAATAATATGTATTTATATTAAAAATGTAATCCATGGCTCTGAACTCTGGCTTCCTAGTAGAATCACATGGCAAGATTTTAAGTAATACTCATTTCTTGGCTCTACTAAAGTCCAATTAAAACAGAACTTCAGTTTTTAGAAACAGGTGTGGGTAGTTTGAATGTTCCACATTATTCTAAGATGTGGGTGAGATTAAGAACCAGTAAGCACACCAGTCAGAATGGCTATTATTAAAAAGTCAAAAAATAGCAGGTGCTGGTAAGGTTGCAGAGAAAAAGGAACACTATACACTGTTAAAGAGAATGTAAATTAATTCAGCCATTGTGGAAAACAGTGTGGTTATTCCTCAAAGACCTAAAAACAGAACTACCATTAGACCCAGCAATCCCATTACTGGGTATATATCCAAAGGAATATAAATTGTTCTATTATAAAGACACACGCACACATATGTTCACTGCAGCACTATTCACATTAACAAAGACATGGAATAGACCTAAATGGCCATCAATAGTAAAGACTGGATAAATAAAATGTTGAACATATACACCAGGGAATAAGATGTAGCCATAAAAAGGAACGAGATCATGTGTTTTGAAGGAATATGGATGGAATTGAAGGCCATTATCCTTAGCAAATCAATGTAGGAACGAAAAAACAAATGCCACATTCTCTCACTTGTAAGTGCAAGCTAAATGATGAGAACACATGCACACAAAGAAGGGAACAACAGACACTGGGCCCTACAAGAGGGCAGAAGGTCGGGGGAGGGAGACCATCTGGAAAAATAACTAATGAGTCATAGGCTTAATGCCTGGGTAATGAATTAATCTGTAAAACAAACCCCCATGATGCAAATGTATTTATATAACAAACCTGCACATGTACCCCTGAAATTAAAGGTTAAAAAAAAGAAACAGGGAGCATTGCTAGGCTATATTTAGTAAGCACCAACTGCGCATACTTAACCTATAAAATGCCTAAAATATAGATAGTAAAAATGCCTAAAATATAGATAGTAAAAATATATAGATAGTAAAAAAAATATAGATAGTAAAAAAATATAGATAGATAGAGTGACATAAAACAAGAATTCAGATATAGCAGTTGTTTTTATTTGTTTAAGAATAAATTCAAAATTCAGAATTATAATTGTATACTCTTATAAGAGAAAACAGATTCATTTTATATAAAATATATTGTGCTAATTTACACACTTTTTGATCCCTAATAATAAATACAACTCTGTTAGATGGCTTAAAAGCAATCTTTACATTGCTTAGAGAACGTTAAATATCAATTGTGTATTTAAATTTTCTACTTATATGAAAGCATGCTATTTTTCCTTAACTTTGGGTAAATAATTTTATGGTGTGATTAAACCGATCTGACTTTTTGAAAAAGGGCATGTTTTTTAATGAAATATAAAAGAGTTGTAATTTTAGTTATTCAGTGTTGCGCAAACCTACTTTTTTGGCTTCATTTGCGAAAGGTTGTTGGATAACCTTTATCTTTTACCACTAACTTCTTACTCTGATCCAAAATATTTGGCTTTTAAAATTCTCCTTATTTCATTATTTGTCTTCATATTTAAAATATCTTCTGTGATATTTCACTTCTAATTTTTTAATATTTTTACATGAAAAGAGATGAATACTGATACCCCTGATTTTTAAGAGATGATTTTTATTGCCCTGTTAATTTGGAAATAAACATGCGATAATATGATTTTAAAATGCTAAAGTGGAGCTCTAGTAATTCAACTGAAAATAGCATTATGAATAAACTATACTGTGGCAATTCTTTAACATAATAAAGGAGGACATCAACAGAGCAGAAAATTGATGAATTTTGGAATATATGAAGCATGTTGTATCAAATTGCCAGAGAAAGTAATGATTTTCTGTTACTGAACTTAGGTCACAAAGCCTACTGCCTGCTAATCGGCAAGTGGACCTGTTTCTCTAACAATGGCCCGAAACTTCACAACATCAAAGGAGAAATCATTGCCAGCAAAAGCATTTCCGGGTAGTAGGAAAGAATACAAGTGAATAACATTAGTCCAGAAGTTTTAATAATATTCTTTGCTGGTTGAAATTCATGTTTAATATGATGTAAATTACTTGATAAGCAAATTAAGAACTATGCTACTACAGACTCCAAATAAGACGCAAGAAAAATGAGGGGAAATACATTAAAGGAAGATCTTAAAAAACAGCTGCACAGAAGATAAATTATTTTTCCAGGAGTTTTAAACATAGTTGCTTTTGTTTGTTTGCTTTGCTGTTTTTTCTTAATAATTGTTTTAGTAAGCTCAGGCTGCTATATAAAAATAAGATAGGCGCTGGTCTGAACAATAGACATTTATTTCTTATAGTTCTTGAACCTGGCAAGTCTGAGGAGGGTCATCTTCTGGGCTTTCAAAGGGCTGCCTTTTTCCTATGTACGTACATAGCGAATAGAAAGTGTTAGCTCTCTGGTCTCTTCCTGTAAGAGCATTAATCCCATCATGAAGACCCCATCCTTATGGGCTCATCTAAACCTAATTACTTCCAAAGGTCCCACCTCCAAATGCTAACACATTGAGAGTTAAGGCTTCAATATATTAATTTTGGGGAAACAAGACACAGTCCATATCAAATATATATATATATATATGTAATATATATGTATAATATATATGCATACTATATATGTATATAATATGTATGTATAATATATATACAAATATATATAATATATATTACATATACCCAAATATATATATTATATATATTTGTATATATATTATATATGTTATGTAATACAACTATATACACTCTACAAAGGCAGTGGAATATAGACATACTTCAATTGATTGTGCTTTGCTTCACTTGGCTTCACAGATAATGTGTTTTTCACAAATTGAAGGTTTATGACCACCCTGCATCAAGCAACTTTATTGGCACCACTTTTTAATAGCATGTGTTCATTTGTATCTCTGTGCCATATCTAGGTAAATCTCACAATATTTCAAACTTTTTAATTATAATTATATTTGATATGATAATCTGTAACCAGTGACCTTTGATGTTACTATTGTAATTGTTTTGGGCACCATGAACCACATCCATATAAGACAATGAATTTAATCAATAAATGTGTGTGTTCTGACTGCTCCGCCAACTTAGACAATTAGTTTTAGATCTTTTATTTAGACGATGAGAAAATTTAAACTATAAATAGGCCAGGTCTCGTGGCTTATGCCTGGAATCCCAGCATTTTGGGAGGCTGAGGTGGGAGGCTCACTGGAGGCCAGGAGTTCAAAACCAGCCTGGGCAACATAGGGAGACCTTAGCTCTACAATTGAAAAAAAAATAGCCAGGTGTGGTCATGGTGGCACCTGTCTGTATTCCAGCCACTTGGGAGGCTGAGGCAGGAGGTTTGCTTGAGTCCAGGAGTTTGAGGTTGCGGTGAGCTACACAATGAGCTATGGTGGCACTACTACACTCCAGCCTGGGCCATAGAGTAAGGCCCTGTCTCTAACTGGAAGTCCAAAGAGGGATCTACTTCCAAGACTATTAATTTAATAGATCAATAAATTAATCAAGAATATGATTTTTTTCTCATCTTTCTTTGTAGTCATATTTTATACAGACTTTTTGTTTAAGTAATCTCTCTTTATGGGCAGACAATGATTTCAGAAACACCACAAATTATTCTCAAAAAGAAAAGACGAGGATTTTTTTTTTTTTAGAAAATGTAACTCTTTTCAGTAGCTCTTGGCAGACCTACCCTCACATTTTCTTGACTAAAAGCAGTCATTAAAAAAAGTCAGTCACAAACAGGTGAATTTAAATTATCATGGTTTACCTATAGTTAACAAGCTTTATCCTCAGAGGTAAGGATAGGGTTACTTTCCTGAATTTTAGATATGTGGAAATATTTGGAGTTATGTCAATAAATGAAAAAGTATGATGGATATAGTGCTTGCCATGGAATATATCAAATACAGATATTCTGAAAACTTTAAGTTCAGTAATATGCCAGGGGTTCCCAAGACCACTTGAGACCTGGTAATTTACTGGAAATCTCTAAGGGAATCAGAAGCTGTAGTACTCATTGTTACAGTATATTACAGTAAAAACAGTACAGATAGAAGTCAGCTAAGAGAAAAGACAAATGAAGTGAACTCCAGGAGAAACCAAGTCCAAGCTCTCAGGTGTCCCCTCCCAGAGCAGTTGCATGGGGACATGTTTAATTATCCCAGCAACAATATGTAAAGTGCAAAGCATTGCCAACCAGGAACACTCGCTGGAGCCTAGTTGTCGAAGGTGTTTACTGGGATCAGTCACATAGTCATGTAATGCCCATATGATTGACCTCAGCTCCATGACATTTAAGCACAACTTTCTTCCTACACCCAGAGTAAAAACAGATGTTCACATAAGTCACGTTGATAACATAACCTTTTCTGGTCGAACTGGGAGAGTATGGCCCAAGACTTCAGGAAAACAAGAACACTTTTATCAAGCAAAATACTCCAAGGGCTCAGAGATGAACTCCTAGACTAAGGTCTAGTCCTGCAGAGGGACCCCTCTTTGGAATGTACAGTATTTGAGCAATTCATGCCAGTCAAGTTAAACCTTTTCACCCATGCCTAAATGCTATTTAAGAAATGTAAATAACAACGATGAGATAGTTTATTAAACATTTTTATTGTAATACACAAATAGTATATAGTTAATTAATTTTAACAAAGTGATTGTACATATTTCACAATAAAATTCCCTTAAATTACCATCTGCTCCATCTGCAAGTAATTATTATTCTGATTGCTAATAACATAGACTTTTTTAACCTATTTTTGAACTTTTATAATAGAATTAAACAATATATATTCTTTTCTGGATGGCTTCTCTTACTCAGAAATGTATTTGGGAGAGTCATCAAAGCTCTCTTGGGTATACCATTTATCCTTCTTGCTTGATAATACTCCATGTATTTATATATATGCTATGATGTGTTTATTTCACTCTTGATGGATAACTGCAAAACTTCCAATTTAAGCTGTTGTGAATAATTCTTTAATAAACAATTTTGTACATTTCCTGAATATGTTTATGTGTTCCTGTTGGATGATAGTAGCAGAATTATTGGTCACAGGGTATGCATATACTTAATTTTAACAGATAAGGTCAAATACTTTCCAAATTCATTTTAACAATTACAGTCAACCTGCATTGTTTTAGAGCCCCGATTGCAGGGTCATTTTGGATTAGTTTGTCTTTCTCTTGTTGATTTTAATGGATAGTGTTAGGCTGTAAATAAAGTTATTTATGCATAGTAAGAACTTTCTCAACAAATTTTACTCAGACTTCTGCTCTACGCTAAGAACTAGCTCTGGAAATTAATTCACAGAAAGAACATGGTTAGGGGCCATCCTGAGGGATTTACCTCACTAGGGATATATATTTACATTTCAAGAGAAGATGAGACCCAGTAGATGCATCCCAGAAGTTACAAAGCTGGAGACTCTAGTGTTATCTTTCCCCTAGAGAGATTTATTTTTATCCAAATGGTTAAAGTAAGAACTCAGATTTTTTTCCGTTTTGTGACTATGGAGACACACTCAGAAGGGGGTCAAGAGCAACTGGGTCACTCTTCCACAAAAACGCTCAGGTTCTTTTTTCCAGAGTTCTTTGCCTACAGCAGATCCCCTTACATGAAGGACATCTGGTTCTCACCACATCACCACCACGGTAAGAATTAGTGGAAAGGAGAGCTAGGTTAAGGGCAGCTGTTTCTTTCCTTCTCTGCAGCCTCTGGTACCAAGTACTGCATGACATGTGTCTCACAACATTCTCTGCCTCTGCACCTCTGTGCTACAACACTGGATGAATCTATGGAGTGAGCAATAGAAAGTCTCTGAACTGCCAGAAACAACTTCATTTTACATGGAAGTGGCTTTAAATCAAACACATTAACCTCAATGAACTGAAATTAAATATGTCTCTATTCAACTTCCCCTTAGCTGAATACTAAAAGTATTGTAGGCTGGACCCGCACTACCTGACAGGGAGATAAATGACTAAAGGCAAATGGGAGTCAAAACAGGTGTGGCTTTTCTTATTTTTAATTAAGCATCTTACATAGCAAATTTTGCAAAACTCATATGACCCCGAGAAAGACCCATACATATGAAAGGTCTTAAAGATTTAACTTTCTTAGCTTTAACGTAAGCTTTCCACTGGATTTTCCCATTACACTCATTCCATAAAGAAATGAAATAATCATATATCTCATTATATAATTATACTAAATTGATCTCAACACATTTTCTTAGCAATATATACCAACATTGTTTCCAATATTGTTTATTACAAATGATGCTACAGTTGAAATCTTTATATCTGAACGCTTGTGTGTGTGTGTGTGTGTGTGTGTGTGTGTGTGTGTGTACCTATTCTGTGTATAATACTGATTTTATTTATTTGTATAGGCCTGGAAGTGGAAATACTGTGACATAAAATAGAGGCACAGCAAATTATTCAAGATGTCGACAAACAGCATTGTTTCCAAGTTTTTGTTCCCTTACAATCCTTGCCATTGGCCAATTTCTCAAAATCCCGTGTTGCTTAACATTTAGTAGCTTAGTAAATATTTTAAATCTCAGAGATTTTACCCAACTGATACCAGGGTTTTTAAAATTTGTTTATATAGATTAAGCGTCTTTGAAGAAATAACAGTATGCAAAAAATATGGTCGCTATTCTTCATGTTAAAACTATCTTAAACACTTTTCCAGAGGAAAAAATAACAAAATAGAAACCAATGAAGGTCTTTTGCTTGGTGATTACATATATTGATTACCTGTGTAAGTTAAACAGATTGGGAAAAGGAAATATCCAAAATTGTGCCTAGATTATATCATGACATCATGTATATATGTAAATAAGTTAATTTTTGCAATCGCAACATAGAGAAAAATGTTATTTTAAATGAAAAAAATAAATAGAACATAAAGTAATATTTCAGCATATTAAATTTAGGAGTAAAAACCTTTGACATCCCTGAAAATCTTTGGTAAAAAGTCCAGATTATGATAACTTGGCTTTAATGAACTAGGAAATAGATGGATAATAGCACACACATTTTTAGCATTGTAGGGATTATTTTCACTGGTTGTAGGATCAACAAACTTGGTTTAAATAATGGTTCTGAGAATTTAATTAATTAATTTAATACATTTTTGTTAGGAAAATAAATTCATTTCTAGACACAGGATATTTTACAATTGGATCGTATTTCAAAAAAAGAATCACTGTGTTTTTAATGAACAAATGTCACATAAAGAAGTCTTTTCAAAAAGTGCTTCAAAAACTTAAATTTGAAATATATGCAACGGATCCACAAGGTATCTAATAATTTTTATTTTTACCAAGCTCATGAGTAAGTTACTTAGCCCTGAAACAGTTTCGGAGAAAAAAAAAGTGTTTTAGTTTCTTCATCTGTAAAATATTTATGTGGCAAATGATTGAGCAAATATATAAATTTAAGCAGTTTGATCCTAGAACTTGTTGTGTTTAAGAATATGGATTATTGAGAAGTACTTCACCATAGTATTTATCACATAGTATGTCCTAATTTAAGATTAAGTATGGTTGTAATCATAATAAAGTATTTTGAAAATTCTTTTGAAAACTGTTTTAATGAATTATAGATTGAACACTGAGATAAGATGGGGTTATCCATGATCTTTAAGACAGCAAAATTAGGTCTTGAAATTAAAATTGAAATGAATATAATACACATATATTGATTTTATGTCGATGTTTTATAATCAAATCTGATTAGAAAAAGGAAATTGGTATAAAGGTTCTCCACATCTTCTCAGTCACCCGACTTCATTTTCTAAGGGAATTACATTACGTACTTTTATTTTATTTCTTGTTATATAGCAGTATCTTTTCCTTGATTTCTTGGCTTGCTTCTGCTCTCTTCTGCTATGCCTATCCATCAGTTTCCAGAGCTCAGAAAAACAGTTTTTAACAGCCTAATATATGTATTTGGCAATTTCCTCCCATAACTATGATTTAATATTCATGGCCACATAAAGGGTATAAAATATTTTGCACTTGGTGTATACACATTTTCTTTATATCACTTTATCTTTCATCAATAACTCAATGGAAATCCCGTTAAGAGAATATGAATAGCTCTAGTTGGTATTCAATGTCTGCCTAACATTTCATGTTGACAAATTATCATAAACTATTCAATAGAAGAATTTTACTAACAATATATCATTAACATTCTAAAATATTTTTGTATAATCTAGACTTTGGTGGGAACAAACCTTGGAACAAACTGGTTCCAAGGTTTCTTGGAGGGGAGTGGTGAAAAAGAAATGGGGAAATTTATGTTTTTTGAATTTGTCAACTTATTGAGGAGGGGTAAGTAGAGAAATTGACTAATTTGCTAAGACAATAGAAGGTATCTTTATTTCAAATAGTACTTGAAAATTATGCATCTAATTGTGAGGTCAAAAAATTGAAGATACCCCTTAATAAAGAAATAAAGGATAGATCTTCCAAAATAACAAGGATGTAGTGGAATGAATAAAAATGTATCAAGTCAGCAGCAATAAGGTAAAAATATTAGAAAAGTAATGTTAAATAGTTGTCAGATGGAAGTATATATTTGAGCAAATATTTTGTTAAATAGATGACAAAAAGGTAATATTTATACATTACATATATGTGTTTGTATGTATGTATGTATGTATTTTGAGATATAGTCTTGCCTGTCACCCAGGCTGGTATGCAGTGGCACGATCTCGGCTCACTGCAACCTCTGCCTCCCGGGTTCACACAATTCTCCTGCCTCAACCTCCCGAGTAGTTGGAACTGCAGGCGAGCGCCACCATACCTAGCTAATTTTTTTCTTTTTAGTAGAGACGAGGTTTCACCATGTTGGCCAGGCTGGTCTTGAACTCCTGGCCTTCTGATCCGCCTGCCTCAGCCTCTCAAAGTGCTGGGATTACAGGTGTGAGCCACCGTGCCCAGCCTCACAGATATCTTAAAATTCACCTGATAAAGTTAGGAGCCTCAAGAAAAATTAGCAGAGGAAAATAATAGGTAGTTACTATTTAGGGTAAACTAAACTGTTCTAAGGAATAGAAAATAAAAATTCCATGTCTTCAAAAATAATTCTTCCCTCTCAATCTCTCTGAATATCTCATAAGAGTATTCAGGCCACAGAAATAACTACCATTTAGCCACTCAGAGGCTTATAGTAGTTCTACTAACTTTAACATTTGGCAACCAAAATTACTCTAAGAATCATCACCCAAGTCAGACAAACAGGTAAGATAACAAGAAAAAGTGCTTGTATAAGGATTTAAGACTAAGGCTCAGGGACAGCAAATATTCTATTTGCTAAAACTAAGCCACATGCACACACCAAGCAAGAGAGCCAGGGAAGTGGATAGGCACAGGCAGTCAGTCCACAGAAGAATGAATCAAAGTGCTGAACTTTCATAGAAAAAATCTGTTAAGATTCATGGGTGGTAAAGAAAATACAAATTAAAATAACACAGGAATGTCACCAGAAAAACCATCAAATTGGTAGCATTTAAAGATAACTATAGGACTTATTGTTTCTAGTGTTCTCTCATATATTTCTGGTGAAGAATAATTTATTGTAGAGCTTTATGAAACAATCTGACAATTTATATTGCAATTAATTGTACTTATGCCATCTGACCAAACAATGTAACTCCTAGGCTTTTTGCCTATATGACTAAAATCATATGCACAGTAGTGGTTATTACATTCTTTAGCCCAGTAGCCATTAAATTCCTTGTGCCCTTAAAACCTAAAAGTTCACAGAGAGAAGACCTCTTACTGACTTGTAGAATCTCAATACTACTTATCTTGAAATTTCAGTAAGTGTTAGGTAAAAGAGTTCATTTGGGATAATCACACTATGATAGTCTTTAGCTTTTGAATTGGAATCCAAATTTTAGTTTAGAACAGCAAAGTTTGCGCCTAAAGATTTCATGAAGTAAAAATACTAATTGTGATTACATATCTAAATATTTGCACATCTAAAATTGTCTTTTACTCGTAACCAGAATAAATGATACCTTTTTTTTAAGAAAAAAGAAGAGTAATCTATCTAGAAAATGAAAAAATTAGGCTAAAATGGTGACTTAAGTAATTTAAATGGATATAGATTTATAAAATTAAACTATTTCTCAATTTTGAGAGGAAAAAATCAAGGAAATCAAATATACCTTCTCTTTCTTTTGCCAACAGATGTATGCTGTCTTAATTGATGCTTAATGTATTTTTCCATTACATAATTTTAATATTGTAATAATTATAACAACAGATACGAAATGAAATTTCTGTATATTTATGAAAAATGCTAAAATTGTAAAGTAATTTAAATATATAGGTTTAATTTATTCATATGATTTAAAATTTTATGTCATTTTATTTTATTTCTTAATTATTGCTATAATTAAATGTTAATAAAATGAAGTCTTTAAAAATTCTGATTTGGCCTTGCAATATGCGATTAGAACACTTGTAAAAATGCAAACATATAAATAATGCAAAAATAATATTTGAAAAATGTAATCGTTCTTAATGTTATTGAACATCCAAAAGTTATTGACGAAGTATTCAGAAGCATTTTAGATTATTGTAAAATATTATTTAAATTATATTTAATTAAAAAATGATATACATTACTCAGTAAAAAGAAAAATAATCAAGAAAAGCAAAACTGAAAAGATGAAAATGTTTTAATATTCAAGAAGCAATCTTGTCTTTTTTACTGAATTAAGGGCCTTCCCTGCAATAAAATCGATTATGCTCACATAATAAAGGTATATCTTAATAATTTAAGTGAAGAAATAAAATCTGTCATCACTTTCACTTTCATCTGGAAAATAGTACCTCATAAGTTTTTTCTGTTGTAGACTATAAACATAGAAGCAAATTTATTAACTTGGAACTATTATATAAGGTGCATAATGAGAGTTTGTAAAATGGCAAAATAGTTTTTTCTAGTCCTATAATCAATTTATCATCAGAATAGCCTCAGACTCTATACAGATTCATTCTATAAACAGTATTGGTGAAAAATCAGATGTGTTTCTGTTTTCTGTTTGTTTGTTTGAGACTATCATTGTTGAATATACATCAAGCAAAATAGTTAAAGAAAAGCCTTTGGAGTAACGTGGTAAATTCAATAATATGTATATGTGCACACACACAAATACACATCCCAAACAACCACAAGAGGAATAACAAATTTATAACCCGGATGGGCGCGGTGGCTCATGCCTGTAATCCCAGCACTCTGGGAGGCCGAGGCAGGCAGATCACTTGAGGTCAGGAGTGAGACCAGCCTGGCCAACATGGTGAAACTCCATCTCTACTAAAAATGCAAAAAAATTAGCCAGGGCGTGGTGGTGCGCACCTGTCAGCTACTCAGGAGGCTGAGGCAGGAGAATCGCTTAAACCCAGGAGGTGGAGGTTGCAGGGAGTGGAGATTGCACCACTGCACTTCAACCTGGTTGGCAGAGCAAGACTCTGCCTCAAAAAAAAAATATTATTACCAAAAATCTCACTAATTCTGTACGTCAGCATTTATTAAAATAAGGATAAGAGAGAGCTACTGTAGATATCTCTAAGAAAATAAATAAATGATTATTGAATGTGTAGTTAATCTTCTTTTTGTTTGCCCATTTCTCTTTAGAGCCATGCGCATGAATTGCACTTGCGGGCTGGATTACCAAGGGCTTCTCTGAAATGGCAAAGAAAATAATGTTTGATTTCAAAATGCAATAATAGTAGCTATATGAAAACATGACCTTTGAGAGATTATTCAGCAAATAATATACTTAATGAAACTTGTTTTTTAAGAAATAGATATTTCAGAAAATATGGTACTACATATGATTGTTGCCAAATCATTCTGTATACTTAATGGTTGTTCAGCACTTTCTGTTTTATAAAGTACTTTCAAATATATCAGTTCAGTTAGCTAGTACCCAAATCCTTGATGTAATCACTGTCATATAACATACAAGCAAACTGTGTGTAATGAATCACACTGCAGTTGGAGTACAAGAGTAGGCATCAAGAAAGTGGCAGGTGTGTCATTTTGAATAAAGGCTGTTGTGGGAAAGGTTCCTTCAGACAGATCCCTCTCCCTAGGTATTTATGTGGTGAGAAGAGCGGGTGGGGTTTGTGGAGTAGAGTCCGGGGCTTGTGCATCCTTAATTCAAGTAACAGCACTTGAATTAAAGGTTTATCCTAACTATAAAGCTATACATTTTTCTCATGATGTATTTGAATATATTCTTTTTAAGGAAAGAAAAAAATATAGTCATATAAATTTTCAGGTCCTGAAGTACATGTATGTCACTTATTGCTAGTCTCTTCTGTATTTTATGTGAATGCCACAAACATTTTTAAAATTTTAAAGAAGTAAACATATATGCAACATAGATTTTTAAAATGAGATATATGCCGAAACAAGGCTTTGAGGAGGTATAATGTTCTGAAATGTAATTAGATGACAAATTATTTCTGGTACACATTTCCTAGCACTTATATTTTTCACCCACTCATAAAACAATGTGAAGTAGGTCATACTGAGTCACCAAATTAAACATTCAAATTATTCTACATCTCCAAAAGTAGCCCATAATTAAAAGGAATTTCATATTGGAATAACTGGACCTAATTTGCTTATTCATTAAATTGTGTCCAAGTGTAGTCTCTGAATTATATCAATTAGGGAACGAGAAGGCATACTTAAAAAGAGCTGAATTAACAGTGCAAATAAAGTAACCACTGTGGATACTTTTGAAAATTCTAGTATTAATTTTGTTAGTCAATGCAATGGAAATACATCAGTAGCATAGTAATAAAAAAATTATTTCTTTTTATAGCATCTTTGATAATTATAAAATTAATAAAGATTTATTATTTAAAAACTGAATAATTCCTACATCATTAAAATCACAAGTAACTCCACTGTCTAATTACAAAAACTATTGCGGTTTTTATGTATTTTCTTATCATTTTATTTATTTATAATTGATAGGTGAGTATTAAAATATAGCCTGACATTATTTTATGATTAATAGTTTATTTAAAATATATTATATGATTGTCTATTTAAAATTAAGCCTGTTAAAAATAAAACTATTGATCTTTCCTATCCTCTATTCCCAAATTTGCTCCTCCCAAATTTAAACCCAGGTGAGTAATTCCAACTCTGTTCCTCCCATAGTTCAGGCCAAAACATTGCCAATATCATGGACTTTTGCCTCTAATATACAGGGTTCAAATATATCTTGTTTGCATAGAACAATTTCAATTTATAATTTACATAGTTTATAGTTTAGAACAGCTTCAGCAATAGTTTACATGATACTTTCCTCACTAATTTCCCTGTTTTCTCTTTTGCTATGCTGTGGTCTATTTTCACAGATCAGTCAAACTGTTACTGCTAATTCTTTAAAGAGGCGATTGCTTTTCTGTTTAAAACCCTTCATGGCTGCCAATTAAATAAACAAAGTTCTTACCATTTTCTAAGAAGCTTTATGTGACCATCTCCCCATGGAGTGTGACCTCATCTCCTCTGCTGTATCACATTGGCATCCTTAGTGGAACCTCATGGGTGCGTTCATACACCAAGGCCTCATTTGCTATTTCTGCTCCCTGAAAATATGTTCTCTCAATTATGCTCTTGGCTCATTCTCTCATAACCACTCATTGTATTCAGATGATACCACCCAGTGAGGCTTTCAGCAACCATCTTGTTCAGTATCCAGCACCTCTTGTGCCCAGAACTCTCTATTCCCCTTCTTTGCCACATTTTTTAGAATAGAACTTAAACCATCTGGCATACAACACATGATACTTTGTGGTATTAATTACTGTTTTTCTCCCAACACTGGAACAACAGCTCTGTGAAGCCAAGACATTCTGAATGTTATTTTCACTATTTTTTCCCCAGTCCCTAGAAATGGGCCTAGAATATACATAGTAGATGCTCAATAATTTGTTGGGGAACAAATGAAAGTTGATCCTCAATAATATTTTATAATGAATAGGCTTACAATTTATGAAAAAGCCATAACTTATTTAGCCATCTCCCTAAATTTGCATGCTTTTGTAAGTAATAATATCATGGTTGTGAAAACAATTATGTGTGTATATACATATATGTATATAGTTATTTTATGGCAATGATATACATACATGTATAGTCTTCTGTAATATTTACAGGTGCTTTTGTTTTCCTTGCATTATGCAGCATATATGATTTTATAGCTAGTATTCTGGATGTCCATGAAACATCAATTAAAAAGAAACTAATATTATTAAATAGCAGACCTGTTAAAGTGGTAGTCAAAATATTCTTTCCCCATTATATACCTCAGAGATTTCTGATGAACCCTTTTGAAACCTAATAGTGGCTGTAATCATAATAAATTTTTTCTAGATAGTTTTACAAACAATTTTTAATCTTCAAAATTCAAGGCTAATGTATGCATATTGAATGATTATGGCATTCATATATAAGCTATGTTTAGAACCAGAACTTACCAGTGCTTATATTTATGTGTAGGTATGATAGACAAAGCATAGGAATAACAAGATATCATTAGTTTACTATTTATTAAAAATATGAATAGAACTGGTTTTGCTCTGTAATTTTTGCTATGATAAACCTTAGCCATGAACATAACCTGCTATTGAGCATGTGCGTCATCCATCTTATGACTCACCAAAAATAGGGAAATGAGTCTAGAACCATCAAAGCAATTGACAACAGAAGTGAGATTTCAGCTTGGATGCATTTTATTATAAAAGTAGTATAATTATATTCAAGAATTTGTTAACCTTTTATCTCACTAAATAAATTTCAATATTCATTATAAATAACAAATTCAAGCATTTAAAATATTATTTATATATTCTTAATTTTTATTGTTTGTTTTAATTACACATGTCAATCCTGTTATGGAATGACATCAACATCCCCTTGGCAAGAGGATATTTTTAAATTTCCACATGTACATTTTAAGAGTTTGATACAACCCTATTTATCCATGATTTTCTCTTTCCTATAATTAGTAATTTTCACTGTAGAAGACTCACTTATAAAAGTGTATAGTATTATCATATTTGGATGATAAACTAAAATTTTGAAATATTTAGAAGCATTGTTATGAACTCATTAAAATTATCAGAATCACTTCATATAAAATGATATTTAATATTTTCTTATACATAAATTAGTGACATTGTTTTATACTTTTAATTTAATTTGATTATGAAAACTTTCTATGTGTTTTTGAATTTGTGTAACCTTAGACAGATTGCTAAGCCCATTTCATCATGCATTAATAGAATAGGATTAGATAATCTCTAAGGGTCCTTGGCTCTAAGATTATATGATTGTAATTAATGGCACTGCAGATCTTGTAGAGGGACATTAAAATGGACCCATACCTGAAGTTACTTTTCAATTGAATTAGTACTTAGGGAGTTGAGACAGTAGAAACAAGGAAGGCAAAACAGTCTTTCATAACAGATCATAATAAATTTGCTAATATTATAGAAAGGTCATTGGAAAGTGTTTGTCCTTTCTTTTTTTTTTAATAGGACCTTCCCATTTTCACTTACAGTTTTGAATACATTTATACATTTCCTTCTTCAAATGTCATTTAAATTAAAAGTGTTTCTATTTTCTCCAGATGGAGTTTCAATGCTCGTAAACATTTACATTAGGAGAGAATATAGTACCTATTATCTAACTTAAGTTGAAAAAGAATGAAACTGTAAAATATATTTACCAAAATAACTAAAGATTTATTTACCTTCGGTAGGCCTCAATTAGTTTACCTTTAAAAAGCATTCATTGATACAAATTTTAAAAATCCATGTAACAGACATCAATCAAATGTGATTTTTCTCCAGTTTATTATTTTCTGCCAGGGGAAATAAAATGCAATAATCACATTTTAAATATACATCTTTTTAAATGATTCTGTTGTTATACATGATTGTTATTCATATTTTTACTATTATTGAATGCCCCTGTACTGACCTTTCCAATTTGATAGTGCAGTAAGAAATAAACTTTTTTTTAATATTGAGAATTGGAAATGACCTGGTAATTTCTTTGTACTAGAGACCACTAATTGTGCATATAATGCATTCTTTCATTTTGTTTAGTAATAGAATCCTAAGTACATATGACCACAAGCAGGAGATTACCTTCTATAGTCTCTTATCAGTGATTAATTTTGATCAAATATAATATGAATTATATTATGAGCATAAATTTAAGTTAATCTCCATAAAGGCAAAGCCGATTGTTTTTACATCTCTTCTTACACATTTTACTGTCTGGAATGCAGAAGTATTGCTGAACTTAGCCATGAGGATGAAACACTAAGATAGGATTATAAAGAGAATACAAGATGAAAATCTCCTGGGGCCCGGGATGAACTCATGGAAAAAACATCCCCACCAACTCTCTTAATTGTTGGAGAGAAATATAAGACTACAATAAGGGTCACTCCTTATACTCATCATTTTTGAGTTAGAGATATTGACAATTGTATCAAACTATATATTTTCTCCCACAAGACATTGAGGGACACACTTCTTTTATTCTCCAAAAGTAACAAAAAATGCTTTGGTGTCTAAGTTTTAGCCTGCAAGGACTGTCATAGTGTTGTTTTCAAAGACTTACATGTTTTATTTCCTTACCTCACTGCAACTTATAAATTTATCTTCTATGCTAACATCATGATAGCATCTAATGGTTCCAAGAGTGAAGATTATCACTAGTTTATGAACCTTTGTATTCCCCAAAAGAGAAAGAGATATTACATAACCAAATTCCAAGTATGATTAACCAAGATTTTTCTAAAATTTTCCATCTCTCAATTCTGTCTACTAATTTGAAATAACTGAACAAAATACATTTGCAACATGATAATTCTTCAAACTCGGCTCTTATACCAAGCAGTACTGATGATTGGGGCATTAACAAAACCAATAAAATTGTTTTGCAAAACAAAAACGAAGTGAAAAATATGCTCAGCTTATCTTACACAATATTGTTTTCTACATCGAAAATGGCTAGATAACCTTAGAAAAAGTGGCATATACATTATTTACCTAAAAGTTATAGTAATCTGGGTAGAAGCTTAAAGTGATCTATCCTGTCATATAGTTGTCATTAACTAGGATATTAATTATTCTTAAAAGGATGCAAAATTTTTCCAAGGGATGTGCATCTGCAGACAGTTTTAGGGACTATTGTCAAGAACTGTGAAGGATCTGAGCTTACAAGTTAGCCTGCTTCAGTTTTATGGATGCTGGCAGAAGACACATAACTGTTTGGTCAGAGACAGAAAGACTTCCATTATTTGCAGCACAGCACAGAGTTGCACGAGCTTCATCTTTGCTCTGGTTCCTGTTTTCCCTCAAGTTTACTGGAGATGATGACAAGGAGTTCAAGTTGATGCTACACACAGTTTGTGTCATAGATGAAGAACTCCAAGTAAAGGAAACTTAAATCTTTAATAAATGAGCAGTAAGCACACCTGTCTGATGTTTTCTGTGGAGGAAACACTATCTTCGTTTTACTTGAAAATAAACAAATCTGTTCTCTCATTCATAAATAAACAATATCTTGATCTTCCAGGGCTATCCACTATATAAAGATCTTTAAAAAGGAAAACCTGTAATAAATGTGAAGCTAGTGCCTTTCTATTTGCAAGATGCACAGAAATGCCTGAGACCAATTGAAAATTGCCTGTGAACAAATACGCTTCCAGATTTTTAGCTTGCTCTTTTCTAAACATGAAAATTCTCAGAAGGTACGTGTTCTCAAGATTCATGCCATTTCTTTTTTCCCAAGTTGCTTTATCACGACCATCTTATTTTTCACATTACCAAATAATGCACTTCCCTAAACTATCCAAAATTTTCCATGGTGTTATAGTTTCTAAGGTACTGAGAAGAAACTCATAGGTGCAGCATATTTATAAATTGTTTACAAAATAATATTGAATACATATTTTCTCCTTTTCCCTGTCACTAGTAACTTTTTCTCTGCTTGATTAATTCATATCACATATTTAATAGCCCAATTTATTCAGAACATACTGAGAGGTGAAGCCCGCTGGACTTCCTAGGTGGAGTGGGGACTTGGAGAACTTTTTTGTCTAGCAAGAGGATTGTAAAATGCACCAATCAGTGCTCTGTAGCTAGCAAGAGGATTGTGAAATGCACCAATCAGCGCTCTGTAAAATGCACCAATCAGCGCTCTGTAAAATGCACCAATCAGCAGGATCCTAAAAGTAGCCAATTGCAGGGAGGATTGAAAAAAAGGGCACTCTGATAGGACAAAAATAGAACATGGGAGGGGCCAATACGTGAATAAAAGCTGGCCACCCCCCAGCCAGCAGCGGCAATCTGCTGGTGTCACCTTCCATGCTGTGGAAGCTTTCTCCTTTTGCTCTTCACAATAAACCTTGCTACCGCTCACTCGTCGGGTCCACGTGATCTTTAAGATCTGTAACACGGGAAAGGTCCATGACTCCATTCTTGAAGTCAGCGAGACCACGAACCCACCAAACCCACAGGCAGGAACCAACTCCGGACATAATACCACATGGCAGTCTCTGTTCTGAGCATTGATGTGTACAGGTTATTTACTTCTCATAAGAACACTGAAAGATAATTGCTACTTACTGGCTCCTTCTTAAGATGAGTAAGCTAGAGATAGATACTCATGATTTGCTCAAGACTTCAGAACTTGTCTGTGGCAGAGCAGAGATGAGAATTAAATTTGCTAGCCACCATTTCTTGGAATTTAAACACATTGTTACGCCACCTCTTAGTATATGTAATTAATGACATGCAGTTCACAGAATTATGTTATTTAAATTATATTGGACAGAAATAAAAAAGTACGGTTGACACTTGAACAACATGAGCTTGAGCTGTGTGCATCCCCTTATATAGAGATTCTTTTAATTAAAAAAAATCAGCATCTGCATTGAAATGTGGATCAAAATACAGTAGCCACAGGATGAAAAACCCGCAGATATGGAGGACTGACTTTTTGTATACTCTGGTTCCACAGGATTACTTGAATATGTGCTGATTTTGGTATCCTCTGGGGTCCTGGACCCAATCTCTTGAGGATATCAAGGGACCACTGTATTTTTATTTAAAATGACAAGAGTAGAGAATATATGCAGATATATCCCGAGGAACATCTTTTAGGTATATGCTTTTCTATTTTAATTCTTCTTAAAAAAAACACACACATCTTAGAACTTACAATGTATCGATACAAAAATGTGGCCATTATTTATGTAGGAAAAGTTTATATACTCCTCTGGAGGGTAGGAAATGAGATTGCAGTGCACATGGGGTTCTGCCACTCACAGTGTAGGATGTTTCACCATGTCTTCCTGAAATGATTTGCAAATAGTCAAGAACAAATGACTGTGGTGATAGAGATGTATTTATTGCTGCCACCTTGTTCCCACTTCACCATTGCATATTTGTACACAGGACACATATTTATTCTTTTAAGTTTAGATTTTACTGAGAAATGAGGACCTTATCTGGACTTCACTGGGAGAATTATGAGTGGCCAGAGATACTACATTTTGAGCTGGATGCCAGACCTTGAAAGAACTCTGCATTTTTCATTTTGAGAGAAGTCAGTGTGTTTTATAATGGGAGGAAGATTAAAGCAGGTATTTTGGCATCAGAAGGACTGACCTTGACAGAGATTGGTGAGGTAACATTATTTCCTTCTTTGGACCACAAGAAAATGCTGTATTTTTCAGCCTCAATTGCAGGTAGGATGAGACCATTTCACTGGTGAATGAAATGTAGGTAGAAGTTATATTTCCCACTTTTAGACTGAGCTATAAGATACCTCATGCAATGCTTCTCATACTCCTCTTTATATTAAATGCAGAGTATTCTGTGAAAACGTTTAAGGAATTTCAGAAAGTTAATCCTCTACTGAATTATTATATGAATGAGAAGAAAAAAAATTGTGTTAAGTCACAGATATTTGCAGTTTGGTTCAGAAACTAATATTAATTGCCCTGACTAATATACTGAGATACTGGTGATGATTCTGCAATGACTGCTTTTACAGTGAAAGTGACCACAGTAGCATGCATGGATAAATTTAAGGTGATAAACATTAGGATTGCTTACATATTTTTTGGCTTCTTCACACACATGGTAGGATATAGCTCACTGCCCTGTTTAATTCAGTTATGGAATGTGATTTCCTTTTGCTTATTGAAATGTTAGTAGACTAAAGTGTCTGTTTCCTTCTAGAGGCAAAAATTCAGAGCGTGCCTCACAACATTCTTTTTTTCCTCGACTACAGTAACTTTCAATGTTCTGGAGTGGCTGCTTTGTCCTCTAGATCCTGGTATAAAGGTGACAATGACCCATGAGTAGAATCATAAGCAACACCAAGGACATGTGAAATGAGCAACTTATGAATGAATTGATATAGGCTCCTGACATTTAGAAATTGTTTTGTTATCACTCAGCTTAGTTTTTCTGATGTAATTTAATTGCTCTAAGGAAACAGTATCTGCTGTGATTTGTTACTGTCTCTTACTGCCCAGTGGTTGGCAAGGCCAAAAGTTCTAGACATGGCAGTATTCTGAGAGTTGAGAGCCAATATATTTTCTTGGCAGTGCTCATGCTCATGGTGCACTTGAAGTTGTGTTGATGCTGCCATAGGAGCACCACAAGCCAACCTTGTTTCTTCCATGGTTGCACTCTTTATGTATTCAATTACAGACCTCAGGTGTGTCTGACATGAAATAAACATACGCAGGCATCATGATGGTAATCAACTGATTGCTTCAATGTGCTGGTCTTTGTAGGTCTTGAGAGTATCAACCTGGAAAAACAAGCTTTTAACTTTAATAATTTCAGCAAGTTAATATAAAGGGAAGTTCCACATATAGGTCTGGATCAAGTTTTTCTATGAAGTAGTTGCCAATTAGAAAAGTTTCCTAAACAATTAACCCTAGCAAAAAATTGTGTAAAGATTCCATTCACTTATTACACAAAACAGTATATTTTATGAGTGCTACCTTCTACTTTGTCCATTAGATAAAAGGTCTCTTCACCCTTCTTTTGTCGTGTTTTGCCTAAATATTTGGGCATAAAGCTATAACCCATCATTCCCTTTTGAAAACAAAGAATAATAACCAAAGTAATATAATCTAAACCTGCTTTAAAGTCCAAGTGTAGTTTATGTTATATGTTCCTGTAATTATTTGTCATCTGTGGCTCAAATCCCTTTTACTAAAATACTTTGCACTTCACCATAAACAAACTTGTGCAAACAAACAAGACACAGAAGCGATATAAAACTCCCAAAATCAAGTTACTAAGTTTCAGTAACAAATAAACCTGAATGTATAATTAAATAGATTATAATAATGCTGAAAATTCTGTATTTTAGGTTCTTTATGATCTAGAGTTCTTCACATGTATGGTTTACTAAAACCATTCCAAGTGCTATATTTCTTGCTAATAAAACCAAATAACAATGTTCAGGGTAAATTTTAATGAATTAATGCTTATGATGCAAACTATGCTTTCATCTATTTTATTCAGAAGCACACGATTAATTATACAACAGATATTTTATATGAATGTTCAGAGTAAAGACTATTTTTATTTGCTTGAATGACAACATAACTTATTAAATGAATAAATACACGGATTCGTCTTCTCCATCACCATTTCAGGCATGTTTTTGTGACATCTACCTTCTTCACCATGAACTCCTTCCTAACCAACCATTATATCTAAAATAAATTATCAGCAAACATAAATAATGTGCTATTCCAGAACTACCTCACATGAGCTAGATGATGGGAGGCATAATTCATAATAAACAGACCCTACCTTTAAATTCTATAAAGCCACAGCATTTAAATTCTAACTATGCCACAGAGCAGTAACCTATTCTCCTATTAATTATATCCCATAAAAGCAATATACCTTCACTAATTAATTATACTTGAAGTAACAACTATGGCTTAATTAAATGAACCATTCCTAATAATGAAACCTTAAAATAATTGGACTCTTCTGTCTAGAGGCAGTAACAATTATTGTCATTGGAAAGGATTTCAAACATGGCTATGCTAAGCAAAGCTGATTCATAACTGACATTGAACCTGAGATTTCCTAGAGCAGTAGCTCTCAAAACCTTTCGTGAAGGGCCAACTATTAAGTATTTTAGAATGTACGTGCCATGTGATCTCTGTCACAAGTACCAGTATTTGCCATCGTAGTGCATAAGTATCCATAAACAATAAGTAAAATAAAAGGATGTCACTTTATTCTAATAAAACTTTGTTTACCAAAATGCATCAGTGGCCTGATTAGCTCTGTGCTTTGTAGTTTGATGACCTCTTATATAGAATTGAATTATTGAACTCATCTCTACTATGTTTCTAGATTTTCTAGTATTGTATTCTAGGTTTCTATCTTTCTCATCTATCCATCTTAATAGTTAAGTTTTACAAACCCTTATCATATATAATATTATTTAAATTATATTAATCTGCATTTAACACACATCTTTCTCTATTTTGTAATTTAGCATTTTTGAGCCATTAAAGTTTAAATTACAGTAGAGATGTAGACATTATGTAAAGGTATATTACTTTATTGTATATGTTCATAAAAGACAATAATGGCCACATTGAAATGACACAATACGATCCACCAAAAGCAAGTAAGGCAGAGATTGTGTACATAAGTAACCAAGTACAAGTTCTGTCCTTTAAGTGAACCCCTACGTCATTATTATTCCCTTATGGTGGAAATTCCAGAAGTAGATAGCACATAAATTTTACATCTTCTTATCTGATATATGGATACCTTTTTTATCAAGTATTCCTTTTTTTTTCTTTTTTCTGAGATGGAATCTCGCTCTGTCGCCCAGGCTGGAGTGCAGTGGCACGATCTCGGCTCACTGCAAGCTCTGCCTCCCGGGTTCACGCCATTCTCCTGCCTCAGCCTCCGCCCGACTAGCTGGCACTACAGGTGCCCATCACCACGCCTGACTAATTTTTCCTATTTTTAGTAGAGACAGGGTTTCACCCTGTTAGCCAGAATGGTCTCAATCTCCTGACTTCATAACCGCCCACCTCGGCCTCCCAAAGTGCTGGGATTAGAAGCGTGAGCCACCGCGCCCAGCCCATATGCCTTCTTTTATTCATGGTTTACTAATTATAATATTCTATTTATATAATTGAGAATTCCTTGTTCCGTTTTTCTTTCTCATTTTCTTTCATCCTAGTCAATCATTTTCAGTCAAAATGTGTATATATATGTGTGTATGTGTATATATATGTGTGTATATATAGGTGTATATATATGTGTATATATATGTGTGTGTGTATATATGTGTGTGTATATATGTGTGTATATATGTGTATATATATGTGTGTATATATGTGTGTATATATATGTGTGTGTATATATATGTGTATATATATGTGTATATATATATGCGTATATATATATAGATGGGAAAGAAATACAGAGCAATCTAGGAAGCATTGTGAAAAAATGGTGTGAACGTATGCATCAAAAAGTAATATTACAATTTTATTCAGTATCCCATCCAAACTTTTCTCCTGCAGGACTTTCATGCTTGCTATTGTCAAATCTTCTCCCTTCTGCATAACTTTATCTTCTCTATTATTGCTATTGTCACATAAATGTGCTTTTATATATCACATTAGAAAAATAGTCATTCTCCTCAGTCTACATGTCTCACAAATATAGAACTACTTTTTTTTCTTCTTTAGAGCAAACTTTCTCAAAAGTATTCAGAAAAGTACAATGTGTAAAACAAGCAGCAAGAGAGGACATCTGTGTTAGGGTGAATAATGGCCTCAAGAGATGTCAGGTCTTAATCCTTAGTACCTGTAAATGTAACCTTTATGGCAAAGAGACTTGCAGATGTGAATAAGTGAAGAATTTTGTGATGGAAGATTATCATGAATTATCTTGGTGGGCTCTAAATGCAATCTTAAGTGTCCTTATAAGAGTGAGGGAGAGGGAGATTTGACATAGAATCTAGGTTATGTGATCATGGAAGTGGAGAAATATTTGAAAATTATACGCTGCTATCTTTGAAGATAGAAGAAGGGGCCTATGAGACAAGAAATGTAGTTCTAGAAGCTGCGTTTCTGGAATAATTTCTAGAATTACTCTCCCCTGAGTTCTCTGGAAAAAATAGGGTGCTGATCACACCTTGGTTTTAGACCACTGATACTGATTATGAATTTTTGGCCTTCAGAAGTATAAGAGAAAAAGTCTGTGTTGCTTTAAGCTACCCATTTTGTGGCAATTTGTTACAGCAGCATAGGAAAATAACAGAGAATCTCTTCTTGTTCCCAGGTTTAAAAGCAAGTCTTCTAACATTCCCACATTATTATGTCATAACATATTGTTTATAGGATTTCAAAAGATACACTTTATCAACTTAATTAAGTGCCTTTTAAATCCTAGTTTAATAAGAGCATATATATATACAGTAAATTAATGATGAATTTTATCAAATACTTCTTTGTATCAATATCTGTTAGGATACAGATCTTAACGTATCTGCATCTACTGAAATTATGTGATTTTTCTCATTTACTCTGTGAATGTGATGAATAATATTCTTTTTAATTGAATCTCAATTATAGAGAATTGAATTAATCATCATTTTGATTAATGACATACTTTCATCTTATGCCTATTCATGGTCATCTTTTATATGTAGGTAATTAAATAATAACTTTTTCAGTGTTGGAAGCAACCAGCATATAGCACCCTGCATAAAAGCTAAAACCTGAAGAATGACCACATTTAGCCATATAGTTTCTCACTCCCATCTCATCCTCTGTAATTACCAGTGTTTGAACCACAACCTCTTTCTTCTCTAAACCACTAGCTGAAATCTAAACTCAGCACTCCAACCTCCCATTTATTGATTTCTGCTAGGCTTCTTGACGTCTCACCTTGTGCATACATATCTTTGATACTGGCCACACTTAAGGGACATTTGTATGCAGATATTCAGGCTCTCTCTCTGTGGTTACCTCCTTCTTGGAAATTTGTCTCATGAGCCCCATACACACTAGATACTCTGAACTCTAATCTCTGTCACCTCAACACAGTAAAATTTCACTTTCTGTATATGCTTTCTTTCTTCACATCACTATTTGGGAAATGTTATTAGAGGAAAAACGTCTGAGTGAATGTAATTTATAGTCTATAATTATTTCTTTTTAATAATAATCCCACTCAAGCTCTGTATACATTGATTGTTCTCCCGTGTCTTCCAATAATTGTCTAACATATTTTGCCCAGCTTTTATAGCCAACTTCAGGGTGTGAGTTTGTGCTACTTTATCATGACCTGAACCTGAAATCCTCTAATTTTATTGAAATGGATGGTTATTGTAGTTCATGTTGCATTTCTTGTGTTTCCAATAAGTTTTTAGATTTTCTATTTCTCCACAATTCTGGAATTAAGAATCCATTTGTTTCATTCTAATCTAGTTTCTTATACATAATGCTAAAGGGAGTGTTGTTTCAATGACTGTCAATAACTTCTACGTGGGCACCATTCACATTTCCCAAAGTCTCAGCAGCATTTCAAATTGTTGAAAATTTCTTCCTCTTCAAAACATTATTCATTATAGAGTTCTTTAAAAATATACCAACCTTGCTTTTCTTCTTGCCACCTCAGCTTTTTATTCCCAACTTAATTGCAACACATTTTTTTTTCAGCTCATTTGGCATTAATTTCTATTGTCTGTTTCAACCCTTCCTTGGTGATTTAACAATAAAAATAAATAATTCCTTTAAAGGGCTCATAAGTGTCGGTAACTCCCATAGCTTTACTTTTACCTTTGCCTATTCTCCAACCTTCAGACTTAGACACAAAGTTGTTTAATTACCATCTTGCATTTCTCTCATGCCAAACATCCACATGACTGATAGTCCTGTTATTTCTTTCTTCAAAGTATATATCAAATGCATTCACTCTTTCCATCGCCATTGCTACTATTACTGTTTTAGTCAATTCTGACTGCTATCACAAAGACCTATAGACTAGGTGGCTTAGAAATAACAAAAATCAATTTTTTCACAGTTCTAAAGGCTAGAAGTCTGAGACCATGGTACCAGAGTGACCAGGTTTCAGTGATATCTCTCTTCTAAGTTGCAGACTACCATTTTCTTCTTGTATCCTCACATGCCAGAGAGTGAGAGAACTCTCTTGGGTCTATTGTATAGGGGAACTAGTTCCATTTAGAAGGGCTCCAACCTCATGATGTAACCACCTCCTGAAAGTCCCACCTCCTAATACCATCATATTAAGGGTTAGGATTTCCACCTATAAGTTTCAGAGACAGGGTGGCAACAGACATGCAGTCCATTGCAATCAGTATCCAAGACATTACCATCATCATTATCTCCATTCCTTATTTTTTATTATTATTATTATACTTTAAGTCTTAGGGTACATGTGCACAATGTGCAGGTTAGTTACATATGTATACATGTGCCATGTTGGTGTGCTGCACCCATTAACTCGTCAATTAGCATTAGGTGTATCTCCTAAAGCTATCCCTTCCCCCTCCCCCCACCCCACCACAGTCCCCAGAGTGTGATGTTCCCCTTCCTGTGTCCATGTGTTCTCATTGTTCAATTCCCACCTATGAGTGAGAATATGCAGTGTTTGGTTTTTTGTTCTTGCGATAGTTTACTGAGAATGATGATTTCCAATTTCATCCACGTCCCTACAAAGGACATGAACTCATCATTTTTTATGGCTGCATAGTATTCCATGGTGTATATATGCCACATTTTCTTAATCCAGTCTATCATTGTTGGACATTTGGGTTGGTTCCAAGTCTTTACTATTGTGAATAGTGCCGCAGTAAACATACGTGTGCATGTGTCTTCATAGCCGCATGATTTATAGTTCTTTGGGTATATACCCAGTAATGGGATGGCTGGGTCAAATGGTATTTCTAGTTCTAGATCCCTGAGGAATCGCCACACTGACTTCCACAGTGGTTGAACTAGTTTACAGTCCCACCAGCAGTGTAAAAGTGTTCCTATTTCTCCACATCCTCTCCAGCACCTGTTGTTTCCTGACTTTTTAATGATTGCCACTCTAACTGGTGTGAGATGGTATCTCATTGTGGTTTTGATTTGCATTTCTCTGATGGCCAGTGATGGTGAGCATTTTTTCATGTGTTTTTTGGCTGCATAAATGTCTTCTTTTGAGAAGTGTCTGTTCATATCCTTTGCCCACTTTTTGATGGGGTTGTTTGTTTTTTTCTTGTCAATTTGTTTGAGTTCACTGTAGATTCTGGTTATTAGCCCTTTGACAGATGAGTAGGTTGCGAAAATTTTCTCCCATTCTGTAGGTTGCCTGTTCACTCTGATGGTAGTTTCTTTTGCTGTGCAGAACTCCTTAGTTTAATTAGATCCCATTTGTCAATTTTGGATTTTGTTGCCATTGCTTTTGGTGTTTTAGACATGAAGTCCTTGCCCATGCCTGTGTCCTGAATGGTAATGCCTAGGTTTTCTTCTAGGGTTTTTATGGTTTTAGGTCTAACGTTTAAGTCCTTAATCCATCTTGAATTGATTTTTGTATAAGGTGTAAGGAAGGGATCCAGTTTCAGCTTTCTACATATGGCTAGCCAGTTTTCCCAGCACCATTTATTAAATAGGGAATCCTTTCCCCATTTCTTGTTTTTCTCAGGTTTGTCAAAGATCAGATAGTTGTAGATATGCGGCATTATTTCGGAAGGCTCTGTTCTGTTACATTGATCTATATGTCTGTTTTGGTACCAGTACCATGCTGTTTTGGTTACTGTAGCCTTGTAGTATAGTTTGAAGTCAGGTAGCATGATGCCTCCAGCTTTGTTCTTTTGGCTTAGCATTGACTTGGCAATGCGGGCTCTTTTTTGGTTTCATATGAACTTTAAAGTAGTTTTTTCCAATTCTGTGAAGAAAGTCATTGGTAGCTTGATGGGGATGGCATTGAATCTATAAATTACCTTGGGCAGTATGGCCATTTTCACAATATTGATTCTTCCTACCCATGAGCATGGAATGTTCTTTCATTTGTTTGTATCCTCTTTTATTTCATTGAGCAGCGGTTTGTAGTTCTCCCTGAAGAGGTCCTTCACATCCCTTGTAAGTTGGATTCCTAGGTATTTTATTCTCTTTGAAGGAATTGTGAATGGGAGTTCACTCATGATTTGGCTCTCTGTCAGTCTGTTATTGGTGTATAAGAATGCTTGTGATTTTTGTACATTGATTTTGTATCCTGAGACTTTGCTGAAGTTGCTTATCAGCTTAAGGAGATTTTGGGCTGAGACAATGGAGTTTTCTAGATATACAATCATGTCATCTGCAAACAGGGACAATTTGATTTCCTCTTTTCCTAATTGAATACCCTTTATTTCCTTCCCCTGCCTAATTACCCTGGCCAGAACTTCCAACACTATGTTGAATATGAGTGGTGAAAGAGGGCATCCCTGTCTTGTGCCAGTTTTCAAAGGGAATGCTTCCAGTTTTTGCCCATTCAGTATGATATCATTATCTCCATTCTATATTTGGATAATAGTCTCTGCCTTTGTCTTCTTGCATTTATTCTTTTCCCCTAAAGTGATTCTTCAAAGAGTAATGTCAAAGAGAACCAGAGCCAGAGGGTAATTAAAGCAGTAAAGAAAGATTTTATTCAGAAATTATTGCAACACAGGAAAAGAGACTTTAGTAGAGAAAGGAGCTCAATTCCAAATACAAGCACACATGGAAATTTATAGCAAAAGAGCAGTGTGAGGGGGTCAGTGGATGGAAAATTACTAAGAGGAGACATCAAAAGTAGGGGAACTCTTGCTAAACCAAATTAACAGGATTCTTGCTGAAGGCAGCTCAGGGTGATCAGATATCAAGATTCTGTCTATATGGACTTAAGGATTCTTGTTAAAAGTGAGCTATGGAGACTAGGCAAGGGGCCTAGGTGAAGATCTAGTTGAGAGGAGAGCTCAAAAATCTGACTAAAGTTTGATGAAGGAGAGAGTCTTTGTCAGTATTTGTGTTAATTTTTTTTAATTAGTAAAAGTGAGGCTTATTTGCATTCTTCAAGGACTTACCAATTAATAAGCTATGTTAAAATCTCCAGTTTTAATGTCTATTTCTTCTTTCTGCTTTATGAAAATTGTAATTTTGTGTATGTTATTAATATATATTTTATTTTTAATGTAGAATGAAGCATGAATCCTTCTGTAGAATAAATTTCCCTTCCTTATCCTGTTAAATTTATTTTGTCTTAAATTCTATCTTGTCTCATAGCAAAATTCTGACAACTATTTCAGGATCTTGCTATCATACAAGATCTATCTTTGCTCTTCCTTTTACATTAAACCATTCTGAATTGCCTTGTTCAATATGTTTCTTGCACACAGAATAGATTGGATTCTGCTCCATTAGCCAATCTAAAAGTATGCCATTTAATGGTGAGTTAAGCCCATTTGTGTCTTTGATATACCTGTTATGCTGGTGTTAAGTTCTGTTATATAAGTTTTTGCTATATAAATAATTTATATAAAATCTTGCCCTGTATTTACACTTTAATTTGAGGGGCAGGATATACTCATTTGGTATTTATAAATGTTTCTATGTTTATTCTTATTATTATCTTATAATAATATTATAATAAAATATACTAGTCCTCTAGTGTGTTTGAATACTGTCTATTGATTTCTTCAATGAGTAGTAATACTGTATTCTAGTAAACTTTCTTTCCTTTCTTCTCTCTTTTTGCTTAACATTTACTTTAATTCCATATTTTTTTAATGGCAGTTAGATACTCCTGAGATAGTCATTAAGATTCGTCTACTTTCTTTTTCTTCTCCTTTTTTCCATTTGTTGTTGAGTTGCATTATTTCTTCATGTTTAACACACTTAATAGCATCATGTTTTGTCACTTTAATCCCCATTACTTGTTCTTAATTATAAAATTAAACATATTTAGTCCTTATCCAGAAGCTTCACATGATGTTTGTCTTCTTGTCAGTAGGTAGGACATTTCTAAAAAAGCCATCACAGGAACAATGTTTCTTAAAATCATAAATATTCATGATGTTCTACATTCCTTAGACATGATTCATAGTTTGGTTGAATAAAATCTCATCTCGCTACTGTGTTATCTGTTTCATAATCATTAAACCATTTCTTGATTATCATCTTGTATAAAATGTTGCTATCAAGAAGTCTATTATCAATATAAACTTCTTATCCTTTTACCTTCATGCTCAAATAATTAATATTATTTTTTATTTTAATTTTTGTTCTTAGAAATAACCGTTACATGGGTATTACTATTCTTTGCCTAAGTTCTATGTTTAGAAAATTTTTAGATGTTTTTAATCTCTCAATTTCTGTTTTTTACTCTTATTTTTATACTCTATATCTCTTACTATAGTTCGTACCACTTCTATTTGATTTTATGTACCTTCAAATTTTTTTTTTCTAAAAACTATTTTCTAAAAATTATCTTACTTGTCTCAGATTATCTGATTCTCTGATTAATTTTGATTTTGTTCCAGTTGTTTTTCTTCAGGGTAAGTATTTTTCTTTTGGGAGTGAGCATTATTGATGATTTCTTGTTGTAGTTTATTGATATTAAGATCTTACAATACTTCCTTTTATCTTCATTTTATCTTTGCCATTAAGTCCAGCTGGTACTGGCCCTATGCTGCCAATGATTAGGACAATTACTCTTGTATCCTGGGTTTTATGCTGATTATTTGTCACCTGTTTTAGTTGGTGATGTCACCCATGGGTTTTTCAGTTACTTCTCCTAACTCCTCTGCCTGGTGTTTGGTACAGATCCAGACATAAATGAAAGAAAAGGAGATAGATAGATAGATGGATAGATAGGTGATAGATAGATAGATAGGCTAGATTAGATAGATAAATAGATAGATAGATACATATTTACCTATATACTTACATACCATAGTTTGCTGCTGAGAGTCTCTCCAGTTTATTTTATTTAATATTCTCATAACCTAGAAGCTATTCTCTACAATGATAAAATAATCCGGCCGGGCGCGGTGGCTCACGCCTGTAATCCCAGCACTTTGGGAGGCCGAGGCGGGCGGATCACGAGGTCAGGGGATCGAGACCATCCCGGCTAAAACGGTGAAACCCCGTCTCTACTAAAAATACAAAAAAATTAGCCGGGCGTAGTGGCGGGAGCCTGTAGTCCCAGCTACTTGGGAGGCTGAGGCAGGAGAATGGCGTGAACCCGGGAGGCGGAGCTTGCAGTGAGCCGAGATCCCGCCACTGTACTCCAGCCTGGGCGACAGAGCGAGACTCCGTCTCAAAAAAAAAAAAAATAATAATCCAACTCTCAGGCAATACTGAGCAAAATATAGCGTAATTAATATCTCAACATACTTGACCCTATATTTTATATGAAAATAAATGAGGCCAGGCGCAAAGTCTCATGCCTATAATCCCAGCACTTTGGGAGGCCGAGGCGGGTGGATCACTTGAGGTCAGGTGTTCGAGACTAGCCTGACCAACATGGTGAAATCCCGTGTCTATTAAAAAAAAAACACAAAAATTAGCCAGGCATGTTGGTGCATGCCTGTAAGCCCAGCTACTTGGCAGGCTGAGGCAGGAGAATTGCTTGAACCTGGGAGGTGGAGGTTGCAGTGAGCCGAGATCATGCCATTGCACTCCAACTTGGGCAACAAGAGCAAAAAATCTCTGAAAAAAAAAAGAGTAAAACACTGGTTGCTCTCTGTTTTAGTAATATGTTACTTGTTAGGTAAATGTGATACATATTAAGTAAAGTGGGATTTTTCTTAGAGAAGATATTTATCTCTATTGAGGTAGCAAAATAAATATATATAGATTGAATGAATTTGTCTCCTTTTAAGTTTAAATAAGAAATGGGTGTGTGTGTTTTTTTGGACTATTCCTATTTTTCCTGGCTTATTCATATTCTAATTCCTCTTGTTTATATAATTATTCACTTTGATCACCTCATATATCTTATCTTTTTTGGGTAGCCTAAAAGCAAAAATATTCTTACAGTCTAGTCAGCATTTGCTGTGCTTTCTTATTATTGTACTTGTTTAGCACAAACTTGATGCTGATTCTACTTCTCATTCTTCATGACAAAACAAGTGGAAAAAATATCTGGGAACTGGCTCTGTGACATGGCTAAATAACACTAAAATGAGTCTTGTGCTCTTAATCTATGAAATGGGAATAATAAAAATAGCAAGTCTGTAATCACTGCTATATGAAAACTCCGAGTTTTATGAGTGCTTCTGGGAATACCTAGTAAAGAAAACATATCTGTGTGCTTTATCTTTTAATAGTTAAAAACAGTTTTGACAATAAGTAGTTTATATTTATTAGTTATTATAATATGTATAATTGTAAATAGTTTATCGGTATTAGTTATTATAATATACATGTACATATAACACATTCATATAAACTATAAGTAGTTTATACGTATTAGTAATTATAATATACCTATTATAATAACTAAGAATAGAAAGGCAATGTAGAAACTAAGAGTTATATAATACCCATAGTAATTAATCAATAAGCAAATACTATTTTTAGTATTTTTATACTATTTGTATATGTATTCATTACTTTATGTATATAATTCTTTATATAATTCTTAGGTTCTATAATACCTTTATTCTGTATATTTTGAATTATGTATTTAATAGCCTAATATATTTCTAATTTGCAGAAAACAAGGAAAATTGTCTTCCTTCAATTATTATAAGTATGCTTTTCTTTATCCAGGGAGGCTAAAAGGCAAGATCATAACAAGCTATTATATGGAAAATTATTTCTTCAAAATATTCCTTTTAAAATTGAGGCAACAGAATCATTTTTCCCTCTCATTGTATTTTTAATTTAAAATTGTTTCAACAACAATATGTAGATTGCCAGTTCAAGTTCTCAGGTGTAAGAAGACTCACATTTCTTTGTTATACAATACAATATAAATATAAAGTAAAACATTATATTAAAATGAACGTTTTATAATATTTGGACATTAATATCTCAGCCTTTCATTAGCATATTATTTGAAGAAAGGCATTCACTTTTTCACAGGTTACTTCCTTGCTCCTGAAAATGATGATGTTCTATTTTCTACTATTTGTGTCTAAAAATTTAAACAGGTTAGTATATCCTCTGCATAAATGCTGCAAAATACAATGTACAATAATTTTGTTAAAATTACTAAATGTTAGTAAAAAATTTGATTAGTTTTCTTAATAATTGTTTCCTTATTTTTCATATCTATATATACAATCATTCTAAAGTTAAGAACTGACTACTCTCTTGATAATGGAGAAATCTTTCAACACACAAAAACAAAATTTTTATTGTCTTTCAAATAGGTCCTGAGAAGAGGATTAGAAAAAGGCAACACATCAAAAAGTTAAGAGGCAGAAATAGCTTTTATGTTGCTGGTAAATTTAATGAGATCTTAAGTTATTCGACTGGCAAGTCTCATCTCTTTGAGCATCTCAGTGAAGACTGTCAGAAATCATCAAAATTCAACACAACAGAGTAAAAGCTAATAGCCTTTTTGTTATACCAAAACTGAAAGGATTGGTAAGACTCAAAATGAATGCTATTACTGAAAATCTTCTTTTATCTAATTCTTTGTGCAGTGAGTGAAATTGAACAAATACATATCCTTTTTATGGTGTTAAAATGAATTCTGACACTATTAAACAAATATTCTTTGGTCCTAAGACCTCCTCAATACTTCTTTCACAAAAAGTATTATTAGAATAGCCTATGTGACTCTAGTTCATAATATTCTGGCTATCATTTGATTATTTTCTGTGAAATAAAAATGAAGCACTCTATTTTTTAAAAAATACTGTGTTTTGATGAAGAAGGAAGTTTTTGAGTGGTTATCACATTAGAGAAATTTTTATTGTAATCAACCTTTGATAATTTCTGACATGATTAATATTTATCTTCTTTTCTAGATGTTCTTAAGTAACAAAAAGCAATAAAGATAAAATACAGGACATCAAAGATATCACATACATTCATATATCTCAAGAAATGAAAGCAATGAAAGAGCTGTGGTATGATCCATATTTTTTGTTTGTTGACAACTAATGCAAAATTCCAAACAATAATGAAGCAACTACAGATTTGGGGAAAATAATAAATCAGAAAGAGCAATTGAGAGAGCCTTTTTAGAAAAAAGTTTTCTCCTTTGGAATTATGTTACATTTTGAGTAATTATTATGATAGTCAACCATTAATTTATACATTTGTTTTTAATTTAACATATATTTTGAGTATTAAATATATCAGGCACTATTATAGGTGCTTGTGCTAATTAACAACCAGTTTTCTAGAATGTGTAAAGTGCCATAGAAAATACCTCTTGGGTTCTATGCTCACTACCTGGATGATGGGTTCAGTCATACCCCAAACCTCAGCATCATGCAGTATACTCTGTAACAAACCCTCACATATATCCTCAAATCTAAAAGTTGAAATTTAAAAAAATAAAAATAAAAAGCAAATGATTATATTAAGTATATTAACTAAAACAAAACTAAGTGATTCTGTTTTAGAAAAAGAATTTAGAAATGAAGGGGAGTGGAGACTAGAATAACACTTATGGTGTTCAATCAGAATCAAAACTATCAATATATACTTAAGTTTACTTTTTTTCTACGTTAGATAGAAATTGAAAAGAATGTGTAGATATATAAATAGACCTAGATGCACATGTTTGTGTGTGAATGTGTATATATATATATATATTTTTTTTTTTTTTTGAGATGGAGTCTTTCTCTGTCACCCAGCTTGGAGTGCAGTGGCCTGATCTTGGCTCACTGCAAGCTCTGCCTCCTGGATTCATGCCATTCTCCTGCCTCAGTCTCCCAAGTAGCTGGGACTACAGGCACCTGCCACCACGCCCAGCTAATGTTTTTGTATTTTTAGTAGAGACGGGGTTTCACCGTGTTAGCCAGGATGGTCTCAATCTTCTGACCTCATAATCCGCCCATCTTGGCCTCCCAAAGTGCTGGGATTACAGGTGTGAGCCACAGCGCCCGGCCGAATGTGTGTATATTTCTTAATTTTAACCACTAAGACTAGAAGCAATAACATTTTAATAGCAATCAGCACATCTAGCATTCAAATCTTGGATTCACTTTTTTCTTCGTTAAAAGGATACAGAGCTGCTTGGATCAATGCCTGATTCTAGGTGCATGCGGCAGAAAGAACAAAATGGGTCTGAGACATCTGTTGTTGTTAAGAAAATAAGGAAGTCTCAACTAATGATGGAGACATGCCAAAGAACATAGGAGCTAACTAGAAGTGGCTCTCAGTGACACAAACTGAGATAAATTGAGCAAGGGAATAAATAATGATGGCAATAGATTATTCAGATTAATTAAACCAAATACACATGAATCCACACTAATATAAATAAATAATTGGATAAATAAGAAAAGTGGGACAAAGGAAAGCTTTTCCATACAGTAGAATTCTAATCAATAAATATAGAAAGAATAGTGGAAATAGATTCTCATTTCTTGGCAAATACCATATAATTGTTGCAGACAAGTCTGCTAAAATTAGTGGATACAATTATGAGAAACAAGATATTTACATAATCTCCAAGTATCTCTCAACAAAATACTGATTTTAAAAATGGTAACTTTGAAGTGGAGAAATGTGGCAGACAATATCTTATTCAAGTGATCAGAGTTAACGTCAACAGTATTAGGACACGATGATATCATGTGCCTCCTGATATGATGCACTGAGAAGGACAACCTCGGCATTGTGGCATTCTTGCCAAAATATATTATGTGAATTTAACCATGAAGAAATATTAGAAAAAAATCAAACTTCAGAATAATCTACAAAAAACAAGTATCAAGGGCATGAAAGACAAAAAGAAAAGCTGAATTTTCTTTTTTAACATTTTTTTTTTTTTGAGATGGAGTCTTGCACTGTTGCCAAGGCTGGAGTGCAGAGGCATGATCTCTGCTCACTGCAAGCTCCGCCTCCTGGGTTCATGCCATTTTCCTGCCTCAGCCTCCCAAGTAGCTAGGACTACAGGTGCCCGCCACCACGCCAGCTAATTTTTTGTATTTTTAGTAGAGACGGAGTTTCACCGTTTTAGCCAGGATGGTTTCTATCTCCTGTCCTCGTGATCCGCCCGCCTTGGCCTCCCAAAGTGCTGGGCTTACAGGCATGAGCCACCGCACCCAGATAAAGAAGACTAAAGAAATGTAGCAGATAAATGCAATATGTGACCCTGATTTTGATCCTAGTTAAAAAACATTAGTGGAACCATGAACAAAATATGTAGGTAAGTAACTAATTCCATATCAATTTCCTAATGTGAGTAACTGTACTCTTAGATTGGTGTTAGCAGTCAAGAAGCTGGGTGAAGAATATATAGGAACTCTTGATTTTTTAAAATATATTTTTGTAAGCTTTAAAGTAGTTCAAAATGAAAATTTTAAAATAAAATGAATAAAAAAGAAAAAGGATAGTATGGATCTTCTGAAGTATTGTGCTAAATATAAAATTCATGGTCCATCCCTGAGGTCTTTTATATTACAGTGTTTAAGATATAAAATAAATGTAAAGAAAACCAAAGAATGATCAATAGTGATGAAAGTTATCACTATTTCTGGATAAACCATGTTCTACAATAGCACATAACTGGTGATAGCTTGGAGTCATGCGAAGACCTCTCCAAGAAAATGAAATGTAAAGTGATGACTTAAATATGGAAAAGGAACCATTTGATTAACAAGCCAAACTATGAAGCTTCAAAGACAAGATGTTACCTTGTGCAAAACCCTGACATGGGGAAAAACTGTGTTTCAAGAGTGGAAAGAGCCCTGTCTCGTTAGGAGTGAGGGTCTTGAATGGTGCCTTTGATTGTAGACAGCAGAGCAGAGCTTTAGCATCCTGGAGATTTGTAATTGTACTCCACAAGTAACTAAAGGATTTAAGGCAAAGGAGGGAAAGAATCTTGCTTACATTACAAAAAATAAAAAAGAAAAAGAAGAAATAAAAAAGAAAAAAATGTAATATATATTATTATTATTACATTGGTTTATAATAATTGGTTTATATCTAATTTGTTTCCCTGTGTTTATAATACATATATATCTCTGCCTCTTAAACCAAGAATAATTTTTACTGGGACAAGAATAAACACAAGGAAATGAATTAGAAAACTATTAAAGTGAAAGGACAAGAAGGTGGAGACCTTGTTCAAAATAATGAAATACATATTTAAGATATGTGCAAGTTTGAAGAAAACAGCTACTGATAGGGTTTTGGTGTATTAGATAAGATAAAATCAATGGGAACACCAGCTGAAGTAAACAAACAAACATACACACACAAACTGGGAAGCAGAGAAAATAACAAAACTCTACTTAAAACATTATGAATTTCAGTTGTCTATAAAACAATCCACATTTGATATTAAGTAAGTAGATGACTATGCAAAGCTCTACCTCAGAGAAGATACCAAAATTGGAAATATTCTGAGATGCTATCATGTAACTGGCCTTTAAACCCATGAAAATGCTTGAGAACACGCGGGAAAAAGTGAGTAAGTAGAGAAAAAAGAAAGTACTCAGCTAAGTGGGTTGAAGACAGTACAGGAAATATTGAAGGAGACTGTCTATTGTTTGATTGATTTCTTTCAAAGAAAGAATACAAAGTAAGTTGATAACTGAAGGACAACGGTAGGTCAATGTAAACTTTTAACAAAAAGGGAATTATTCATTAATGAGAATGATAATACTAAAATGAGAGGGAGAGCTAAGGACAGAATTTACTTAATATTGGGAGATCTTGTCAATTTAGCATAAGACATGTGGTAACTTTGTAGAAGGTTATTGTTATGAATGCTGTGGGAGTGAATGCATTGGGAAACTAAAATAGAATGTTTGGCACTGTTGAGTATCCTTTTAAGTTTTGTAATGAATTGAAATCATGTTATTAGTTACAACGTGGATGAGCCTGGAGGACATTACGTTAAGTGAAATAAGACAGGCACAGAGAGAGAAAAACCACATGTTCTCACTTATATGTGGGAGGTAAAAATGAACTTATAAAAGTAACAAGTAGAATTGTAGTTATCAGAGGCTGGAAAGGATGGGAATAAGAAGAGGATGGAAAGAGGTTGGTAAGCAAAGTTAACTTTGTAACAAAGTTGTAGCTAGAAGGGAGGAATAGCTCTACTGTTCTGTAGCACTGTAGGGTGAATTAAGTTAACAATAATTTAGTGAATTTTTTTAAAAACGTACCAGACAGAATTCTGAATATTCACATCACAAGGAAATGACAAATGTACAAGGTGATAGATATGCTAATTACTCTGATTAGATTATTTCATATTGTATACATGTATCAAAATATCACTCTGTATCCCATAAATACGTATAATTATGTGCCAACTAAAAATAAAAGAAAAAATAGAATTCAAAATATAATCAATGTTCAACAAAAGCTTGTTAAATTAAGACAAAGAAGCTATTGAAAATGATTTTTAATTCTGAATTTAAATTAAAATAATCTAGCTTAATTATGTCATTTCCCCCAAGAATTCTTAAGCTTTTTGGATGCTAGCCCATTAAAAAAAAAGAAAAAATTTGGAATCATATTGTTTACTCTAATAACCTAGTCTAAATCACGATTCTAGAGAGAAGTGGTAAAGACTCAAATTGTTATTATATTAGAAACTTAGCCTTCTGAAGGCAATATTAGGGAAAAAGAACTCTAGGCCACAATGAGAATGAGAGTAGTTTAAACAGGAAAAGGAAGAATCAGAGAGATTATTGAAAATGCCATCCACTAAGCATAATTCAAACAGAAGACAACATATATATATATATATATTTTTCACCTAGGATTAGTAAATCAAGAAAATTGTATTACAATTTTATTGGAAGATGAGTTCTATAATATACTAAGTATAAAAAAAGAAGTAAAAGACTTGACATATACCATAATAAAATATTTAATAAGAACATATCTAGTAAGTACATAGAAATATATAAATAAAAACAGCTTTATTCAATAAGTATTTGTGACTATTATATATGTTATCTCATTTATCTTCACATTATTTTTGTAGGATAAATATTACTAATTTGATGTGTTGGTTGCAAAAAGGGTAATGTCACTAAAAGAAGTCAGATAGCCTGATTAAGGTTTTACATTCATTCATTGTGACAAATATATAATGAGAACACAATTTCTCTTATTATATCAAACTACCTGCTAAACAACAAAAGGAGTTTGATGATTTAATTACATATACTTTATCTTAATTCCCAAAGTGTATTAATATGGAAGGGCATTCTTTGTTGGTACTTGATGAGGTTAGAATTAAGAATTTAAAACTTATTGTTATAAACATATACCTAATTTAAATCATTTAAGTTATGATATATTAAGCTAATACATGCTTGAATTTGTTACTACTTTTGAAAAATTCTGTGTCTCCCCACACCTTCCTCATTCCACTTCGCTAGTTATTATGTTTCTTTTTTAATTTATGAAGATGGAATATAATGCCCAATTCATAATACTGTTTTTCAGGTACAAAGTTGGCATAGACAATACTGAAATACATGTGATGACATTTACAGTAGCAATTCAAATTAAAAGAGAAAAGCATCTTTCTAAACCATCTTCAAGTAAACAGTTGCCATTTATTTCTACTAGCAAATATTTCTATGTATCCTAAAAATTAAAAGTGATATACATTGAGTAAGACTTTACAGTCCTCAGAATAGTATAATGGAAAAATATGTATTTGATATGTTTTCCTGCCATTTCACTATCTAGAAATTGTCCTAATCCTTAAAAGAGATCATTAGCTAGCCACTGAAATCTCAGGGGAAAAGCTGTTAAAACTGACAGCTACATTTTTTAACACTACACATATAGACATCTCAGAGTTTAAATACATTGGATTTGTAATCTCTCTGTTATTTAGAAGAGGTGCTGTATAGGTGAAGGACTCATTTTGTGAACCTTTCTTAGTATATCAGCTAATTTATTCTTAGAACATTTCTAGAGAAAGAAAAACAGCAAGAGATCATCAGAGAATAAAAAAAGGTATTATAAATATGAGTTAAAATCATTTAAAGTAGCAGTTTATTTTTCAGAAAAGAATTTTAAGCCTCTACATATTTATGAAGAAGAATGGAAACTCTTGAACAACAGTCATGAAAATTTAAAATACAGATCTGATAAAAAATTCCTCTGCCTGTTTTATCAAATGTGTTTAGATTGGAAATAAATAGGGAGTTTGTTTCATAGCTCCCCTGGTTGGAGGTAAAAAGTTTCTATTCCTTAGGAAATGGAATAAAATAAATTGGTTAAAAGAAGTTTTGAGATTCATTCGTCCATAGCATTCTAAAATAGGAATTAGCTTAGGTCATCAATGACCAAAATTATCTGAGTTTGGTGGAGATAAAAAAGCAAGACTGAAAGTTATATTTTTTTTCAAGCAATGTTTGAATGGATAAAGTACAGAAGGAGAAAAATGGTTGCATTTCTATGCATTGAAAATGCTTATTTGGTTTTCTTTTAAGCTTGTTGTTTCAAATGGCCCACTTAAATTTACTGACTCTATACCAAATAAATTAATCTCACTTTTCACACTGCTATCCCTCTAGTTTCTTGCCTCAATTTATTCCAGAATGACATTCTACATTTATTCAATAAGTACTCAGAGGGATGCGTTATGTGCATGGCATTCAACTAACCATTAGTTGGACAAGACAAACTAAGTAAAGGATATCTTTCCTGCCTTCTTAAAGTTTGCAGTTTAATTATCTTGATTTCAAGCCTCATTCTGTTACATTTTCACTAATTTTCCATATTTTTTCTAAGTCTCTGAAAAGTTTTGATAGTGAATTCCATCACCTTTATATTAGCTAAGCTCTCATTGGCTTTCTAACTCAATTTATCACATGGATATTGACTTTCAACCATGTTTTCTTTTTTTTTTTTTCTTTTGAGATGAGTTTTGCTCTTGTTGCCCAGGCTGGAGTGCAATGGCGTGATCTTGGCTCACTGCAACCTCTGCCTCCAGGGTTCAAGCGATTCTCCTTACTCAGCCTCCCAAATAGCTGGGATTACAGGTGTGCACTACCATGCCCAGCTAATTTTGTATTTTTAGTAGAGACCACGTTTCTCCATGTTGGTCAGGCTGGTATCGAACTCCTGATCTCGTAGTCCCCCCGCCTCGGCCTCTCAAAGTGCTAGGATTACAGATGAGAGACACCGTGCCTGGCCTCAACCATGTTTTCAATTCTGAAAACAACTAAGAAGTATATGACCGTTCTTACCTTCAAATAAATACAATTTTAGTCTAAATGATAAAAGGACTCTATATAGGTAAATTCATCATAAGTTAGGAAGTAGAAGTGGAATGAAAAGTTGAAAAAAAAGGCATAGTACATGAGTATGAAAGGATACAGAATTAAAACCCATCTAGAAGATTCAGTAAAATATATGGCTTCCTTTTTATCCAAATAATTTTAGAAACTTTCCTTCCAACTTCCACACTTCTATGGCATTCAATTCCCATCTTTATTTTATTTCATCTTATATTTTGTTTTACCTTCTGTCTTTACTTTCCCTTCTTGTTGAAGTAATTGTTTCCTAGAAACATAGATCTTCATAAGGTTTATTACTGATTTAACATCTAAAGTTATCATATAATATGAGCTAGATTATGTTATCTAGCAATTTATCAATTGCAAAAATTTCACCCAATTGTAATTTAGAAAAAGTGTCAAACCCCCTAATAAGTTGCAAGAATAACAAAACTAATATTCAAATACATGCAACTCAATCCATAATCCATGTTTGTGTGTGTGTGTGTAAAGTTTTTTTTTTTTTTTTGAGACTGAGTTTCGCTCTTGTTGCCCAGGCTGGAGTGCAATGGTGCAATCTCGGCTCACTGTAACCTCCGCCTCCCAGGTTCAAGCGATTCTCCTGCCTCAGCCTCCCGAGTAGCTGAGATTACAGGCATGCGCCACCACACCCAGCTAATTTTGTATTTTTAGTAGAGACTGGGTTTCTCCACATTGGTCAGGCTGGTCTTGAACTCCCGACCTCAGGTGATCTGCCTGCCTCAGCCTCCCAAAGTGCTGGGATTACAGGTGTGAGGCACCGCCCCAGCTAAATTTTTTAACTTATTCAAAAATCAGTTGTATACATCACTATAATTCACAGGGATAAGCAAATTATTTCTATAAAGAGCAATATAACAAATATTTTAGGAGTGTGTGTCTGTAAACTTCTGAGCTTATTCAAAAAGTAGTTGCAAACATTATTATGAGTCACAGTGTCAGCAAAGTATTTATTTCTATAAAGGGTAAGACAGTAAATATTTTAGGCTTTGGGAACATTGTAGAAGTCTCTGCCACAACTGCTAAACCCTGTTGTAACAAGAAAGTAGACAATATGCAAACAAATGGCTGTGGCTACAATATTATCAACTTTATTCATAGACACAAATGTTATATTTTGTTAATTTTGTGTTACGGACTACTATTCTTCTGTTGATATTTTTGTATTATTCAAAAAATATAAAAACATTCTTAGCTGCAGGTTGTACAAAAACAGGCAATAGGACAGGTTCAGTATATGGGCTGAAGTCTGCTAAACCCTGTGGTTCAACTAGAAATATTACAGTATATAGCTGCTAATAGCAAGAGCAATGTCCTATTTATACACAAGAAAATTATCACGGGTGGAAATTATATTAAATACATTTTAATCATGCAAATTATACAGGAATGTAGTACTTTTGAAAAAATCAAACGATTACCAGTAAATCTATTGTGTGTTGGTTCATCCCCAGAAGGCCATTATTATCAGTGTGGTTTGCGTATTTCCAGACATTTTCCAAAGCAATCACATAAGTTCATTTTAAAAATGTATTCTCACATATTTTACTGATAAACCATTTAAAAGTAAATGTGCAAACAATAGTTCTGCAATTCATTCATTCTCTTTAATAAGAAACATGCTGGAGACAAAGAAGGCAGGTTTTTTGGTAACCATATAACTGGCTAACCTCTTGGCAAACAAACTAAGAAGTTTCCAGGGAGGAATATCTTACCTACAGAATGCTTTTAGAAGAATGTATGTGCTGTGATTTCTTTTCTAGGGTTGTTTATAATAAAACCTAAATCTCTTTGACTCATGGGGCATAGTTTCCTGGACCATCTAAAGACAAAATGAGATATTTTGTGATCTAAATATCTCCTCTGTGTAAGTGAGATGACCGCACATCTTACTCAGAATCATCATCTATTATCCTTGTTCAAAGCATATCTGATGTGGGAGGAAAGGACCCAGGGATTCTCACAGTGCTATCTGACCTTACCTTGCTCCACCTGTACCTCACAATAATTTTTATCCATAAAATTATTAGTTAAGTTTGCATAAGATCTCCGATGCATGTGAGTCTGATTTGATAATCTAATACTTTGTGTATTTTTAACCACAATAATGTGTTTTTATTTTTCAATTTAATATGTATTGGAAATCTTAGTGATTCAACACATGTTAATCTTTATCATTTCTTTAACTCTTAGATATGTCATATTTACTTAGCCATTTCTCTATTGGTGGACATTTAATCTATTTAATGGGCTTTTGACTATTTTTAAAAAGCTGTAATTGACATCCTATTGCATTTTATTGCACATATGTTAGTATTTCGTAAGACAGATGATGAGTTAAGGAAAATTGTGCTTATAAGTTATTCACATTGTAAAATTTAATAGATATCAAAAATTTTCATCTAAAGTGGTCTTAAATTATAGATGTCAATTTGATATTATTAAACTTTGAATTATTTTGCTAAACCCATGGATTGAAAGTATAATTTTATGAAATCTTAGGTACCACAGGAAGAAGTATAAATTGATACAACTGATTTGAAAAAAAGTTAGTCTGTGATTAAATAAGTATCCACATATGTTTGCTCCTAAAATTCCTTGGATAGTTATATGTTGTAGATAAACTTATGCATATAATTCTGAGAGCATATGTCCAAGTATTTTCATATTGACTTTGCTCCTAAGCACCCAAACTTTAAAATAACACAAATGTATATAAGGAATAAAATAGAAAATTCTCATCTATATAAACAATCAAATATTATAGAGCAGTGAAAATAAATAAATTACAACCGCTTGCAACAACAGGGCTGTCACTCATAAACATATGTTGAACAAAAGGAGTGTGGCACAAAATAATACAGAAAGAGGATTTCATAGTAATTATCAAAGCAGGCCAAAAAAAACTAAGGTATGTTGTTCAGAGATGCATACATGCTATACCTTTTTGAAGCACAGCAAAAAAATTATACATAAAACTTAGGGTGAGAGGAGCTTCTTTTAGGAAGGGACACTTGGGGGAGTCTGGGGCACTAATATAGTCTAATTCCTGGCCTAGTTTGGTTTACATGGGTTAGCTTTACAATCTGAATACATTTAAGCTTTACAGATGTCTTTGATTCATGCTTTTGCATCTCAAAATAAAAGGTTCTATTGTTTAAGTTTAATTTGTTTTACTTGATTATTGAAAAATTTAATTATTTTTAAAATTTTAATTAAATTAGTTTAAATAAATAATTAAGGTCTTTAGAACTAATCTCTTGATTCTTCCAGTAAGTACCTATTTTTACATTTTCCCACTTTTCTATTGAAATATTTTTATTTTTCTAAATTATTTATACATTTGCTTTGGTATACATAGTTTACATATTTTCTCATAGTAAAAAACATGTAGTAAAACTATTTTGCTAGAAGTGAAGACTTTAAATTTAAGTTAGCCAAATTAATCAATTTTTTTCAAGGGTATTGATTTTTTAGTCTTGCTTAAAAAGGCAAAAGGGAGGCATACATTAGGTAAATATATTGAGAATGGGAATTTGAATCAGAAAGAAAAGGCAGCGATCAGTTGGAAATATCTGAATACATATTGCCTAATGGGCATGTCCTCTCTCTGACAAAAAGCCTGATCTGACTGCAAATGAGGCAAATTGTGGCCTGTAGCAGCATGAACCTCCTTCTCTACCAAAGGATTGCTCAGTAATAACAGTCTAGCAGAAACTCACCTTGAAAAAAAAATGTAGACAACATGAAAAAAAGAAAGAAAGGAAGAAAATCAACAGTCATTCAGAGAAGTGCCATCATTGTAAGTGCATAGGGTAAGATTTAAAATAACATAAAGCAAATGAAAGATGTATAAAATACAAAAGAAAGACAGCAGAGAGCAATAAAAAGAGTACTTCCAAATAAGTAGAATTAATATTCTCAGGGGAATGCCAGAAGTTACTGCATCCATTAATAAAGAAGAAGAAAGCTAAAAATGAGATCATTGAAGTAATGATGGATATATAATCTCTCAATAAATGATGATGAGTTGCATATATAGTAAAAAGAAGGCTGAAATATTTTTAAGCACACGCTTGCATACTAAAATAAATGAGGTCAAATGAACAATACAAATACACTTCTTTTTGGACACCAACTTCTACTTGCACCTGCAGTTCTAGTCCTCTCTTTTCCACTACACTTTCTGATCTTCTTAGTATGAATTCCAACAAGAGGCTTCCTTTTCTTCTGACTGCTGAGTGAATTC